>NC_000003.12:105826786-106129816 GCF_000001405.40 Homo sapiens | reverse complement strand
CATGCATATTTTCTAAAGCTATAATCATTTTGTGTGCATATTTGAAGTATTTAATTTTAATTTATTCCATTGGAAAAAAGATGTATTGCAATCTATTTTACCAGTTTTCTATTTTCAGACATCTGGGTTGTTTCCAAATTTAGATTTTCTAGGATGAAATCTTGCTGTGGTCTTCAGGCTTATAAGGATACTTACAAGTAGGATTATTCAGCCAGGGAGCATATTTATTTGCACATCTCTTAAAATCCGTTGCCAAATTGCTTCCCAAAGGGTTATGCTTGTCTATAGCTAACGATCTAAGGGAGTACACTTTAGTTGGTATCAAAAGCTTTGTTTTGACCTTAGAGGTAATCAAACAACAATACAATGAACATAATTCTTTAACACTGGTTATTCATACTTGGTATAACTACAAGGCTTTTGTGTTTTGAAACATTTAGACCACCATTTTTTTAAGTATCATGATGATAATTTTACTCATTCATTCATTCATCCATTTTTACATTCATTTATTTATTCAAAAGCTATGTATTGAGACCTGCAGAAAGGCATGATACTAAATGTAGTGAAAATACAGTATTGTAAATACAGTGGAAATATAGGGAGATAAAGTATTAGGGATAGAGTAGTGAATAAGAAAGATCTAGATCAAACTCTGTTCAGATTTCAGTGAGGGACACAAAAATTAAACACATTGTTACACAGTTAATTATTTCAGTTTGTTATATAAACTATGAAGCTAATTATGTATTAGATATACTGAAAGATAAAACATGATAGCCTTAAATTGGTATAGATGAACAGTACAGTTTCTCTGAGGAAGTTATAGCTAAAATTAATGCAAAAGAATGATGAAGAATGTGCCAAGTTAAGAGCAAATGGATGGGAGAAAAAGCTTTAAATTGAGTCATTATTCCAGTGCAAGAAGAACTCAGACAGCTAAACAACCAAAAGTTAGTCCTGAAGAATGAAGCACTAGTGAGAAAGTGGGAGATTTTTAGGATATGCGGCCTAAGAGATAAACAAGGAAAAGGTCATATAAGACTTTAGGACCAGGGTAAGGACTGTTAGTTTTATAAAAGTCCAATAGAATTTAATCTAAGAGTCATGGGGAGATATATAAAAGTGTTAAGTGGTGGAGTGATAAGATTAGATTAGTCTTTTTAAAATAAACAATTATTCTAATAACTATCTGGAGAATAGACTGGAAGCAGGTAAATAGGTAAACATATATCATTTAGGAGACTTTTGAAGGAAACCAGGATGAGATGTGTTGGTAGCTTGTGTTAGGGAAGATATACATTGGAAGATTCTTAACAAGCTTAGGTGATTGAGCAGATATTAAGAAGAAAGAGGCCACAAAGCTGGTGCCCAGGTTTCTGACATGAGAAAGTGGGCAAGCACTGGTGCTATTCATTGAAGAGGGAATCAAAAGTGAAAATCTTGAGAGTACCTTTATACCATTTAATTGGAGTAGATTTGTTAAATTAATAGTTGCATATACTTGTTAGAAGCTCAGAAGAGGAGTCTTGGTTGAAGATGTAAATATATCATCATGAATGAAGCCATAAGTGGCTGAGAGCATCTGGGAGGGAAATGTGGAGAGACACAAGAAAGGTGATAATATAGAGTCCTGAAGAATTCAAATACTTGCTCATCGGGTTTAAGAGGAAGGTCTTCCAAAAGAGATTGAGAAGGAAGCAAAGGAGGTAGAAGCAAAACAGAGAGTGCTTCCCAGAATCAAAAGGATAAGGCCTTTTAAACCAAAATTGTGGCAAATACTGACAAGTTGGCAAGTTAAAAGAAGGAATGAAAATATGAAACCCAGATGACCTTCTAAGAGCAGTTTGGATGGCGTGAGATAGCTGATCAGACTAGGATGGAGTGTATAAATGAGGTAAGAAGGTACAGATGGCAAATATGGGAAACTCTGAGTGATTACTTGAACAGACATTTTTAATGTCCAAATCATAATGATATGAAAAACTAAAGAGTTAACAGAAGATGTATTTTAGAGACTGTTTCAGGTTATGCCACCATTACAGAGGACCTTCATATTTTCTAAGGACTCTATTAAAATATATAAGTTTCTCCATGGCCTTGAGGGCACTGACCTACTCCAAATAGTATTTTTAAATGTCTTGTTTATGATATTGCAAGCTCAAGGAAATGTGACACCAGTAAATTTTGCCTGGAGGAAAAGGTGGAAAGGCTTGGAATATCAGGAAATGCTAAGAGTTATTTATAAGATTTCCTCAGGGACAGACTAATGTGCCCTATTACAAGATGAGGGCAGCCACTTATATATGCAATATACATTACATGTAATGCGTTTACCCATTTCTAGATAGGTAACATGGAAGGGCTAACTTAGGCAGGTCAACCACACAAGGGTTCAATATTCTCACTTATTTTCCTGGTATTTTATCCTGTACATTACTTTACTAAAAATGCCATTTCTAGAGCAAATACTGAATATTAAACTCGCAGGTTACAACTACATTGAAGTATTCAATTGTTTAATATATTAATCACTTATTTAGATTTATTTCCAATTTATCACTTGAGATATGCTTTGACCCAGGTAAAAGAGTATTTAACTTTCTGGGCTCACCAAGGACGCCAAGCACTTCACTAATATTCCTGTGCACATCCTCCCTTCTTTAGGATGATTTTAACTAGCAAGCCTATGCTCTCATCTCTAGAAATGCTTCTTAACCCTTATCTCTCTTTCCTGGACCTCCTTCTCTTCGCTGGGACAAATGCCTTTTAGCGGCCCATTTGCAAGGATTTTCTGGCTCAGCTGCTTTTGAGCAGCCAGTGTTTGTCTTTCAAGATACCCCAGCAGCCCTTCCATCTCTATCGATCCCATTTGTTTTCTATTCCATTTCCTCTAAGCTCCCCTTTATTCATCAACCCTAATTTCTCCCCTACCACTTCCACTCCCTAACCTTAGTTGATCTAGGCTTCCCAAGAGAAAACTGCCCTGTAGGTCATTTGGCATGATGGTTCCCTTCTCTGTGAAATGGTTATAGTCAGAATAGTATTTCTAAGCCTATTTTACAATGGATGGCTTTTACGTTCCATATAAAGTGATGAAAAGGTGGCAACACAATCTAAAATGTGTATCTAAGTAAAGCACTTTTCACTGTAGAAAGCAACCGAATTTTCCAAGACTAGAGCCAACACAAACTATAGATATTTGTCCTTTGACATTTTACTTTCTAATTCCAGATTATCAGAGTAAAGGAATCATTTTTATATCTCACCAGTCCCTTTTTAGGGAAAATGACAGGCACAGGGTATATTCAGAATTAAAATGTAAATGTTAAGATATTACGTCACATTTAAAACTATTTATGAGTAAAAAAAAATACATTTTTATGTGGTGAACCACTTCACTAGAACTGTATAATTCTACATTATTTGCTCTCTCTTTCTTTTTTAAAGGAAGCCAATCTTCTCTAGAAAAAACATTTTCCTTGTGCCGATTGGATTTAGAATGCCAACAAAGTTTTGTTTCTTTTCTTTAAAGCATATTTATTTTTAGACCTTTCAATTCACTATTGCAAACAGATGTGCTCTTTTTCTTTCTCTCCATGGAAGCAAATAAATAACCAAGATTGCAATTCCCTTTAAAAACTTTTATAAGAAGAAAGAGAAAAACAATAGGAGTTTTATTTCAGAATGCTGTTCTGTGCCAAACATCCAATCTGTAAAACATTTTGGCCTGTTGGGGAAAGATATCTCATGTGTGGGGCATCAATCTGTTCTTCTGAAATGCAATTCCAGTTCACAGAGCTTTGATCTGAGTGATAAACACAATTTTCTGAAGCTGCTTATTAAAAGACAGAAATATTGACAGTCTAAATCCTAACACCTGAAACAAAGTTTCATGCAAACAAAAAACTAATAACTAATATTTTTAGAGCCTCACAATGTGTCAGATTCTGAGTAAATTATAACATCCACATCATCTCAGTTACTACTTATTTTTGGAGATCAATGCCAATATTACCTGCATTTTACAGATGATAAAATGAAGCAAATGGTTACATATTTTGTACAAATTATTTGGCTAATTAGAATCACAACTTCATATAGGATTAAGGTTTTGCCACTCAGCACAGACGTCTTTCCTCTAAAATGAGCTACCTCCCTCAACCAAAGCACACATTGGATAGGAGAGACGAGACCTAACTGTGAGTCAAATTAGACTCCAGCAATAAATTTTCTTTTAGGATCAGCTGGGGAATCAGATAGAGGCAGAGAAAAATTGGAATCCATCTACTGCATCTGCAGCTGTTCAGGCACTACATTATATACTTACCCAGAGAAAGTTTTTCTGCTGAACAGAAACAGTGGTAAAACAGACATCTACTTGGCATCCATTCAATAGCCATGTATTACATATAAAGAGAAGTCTTGTCACCTAGGTTAAACAGCATTAAAGGGTTTATAGTCCAACAACTCCTTCGGGTTGGCTTAAGTCTATGAAAGGTCATTCTTTAATTTTTAGGCAATACGTACGTATTACCTCACATTTAAATCAGGCCTTTCTAAGAGCACTGAGCACTTTTACACACATTATTTCATGTATCATCTCAACATCTGTATGGAACAAGGAAACAAACTTCACTTTTATAAGCCTCACTTAATGCTAGTCAATAGATTTGCATTTTCACATTTCTACTTAATTTTTCATGCACCTTCCTAGAAACTAAAATAAGAATTCCTAGATCCTGGTTCTGGCTTTTTCACTAACCAGCTTGGTCCCCTGGGGGCAGCCTCTTAGCTTCCCGGAGCTAGAGTTCAGTTTGGTATTTCATGTAGGTATCAGGCTAGGTAAGTTCCAAGTTCCCTTCCAGCTCTGCCATTCTAGGATTCTATGCTAATAGAACATCTGTAGTATTTTGTGGAAAAATTATCTTCAAGTCTAAGGAAATTTGGGGCTATATTGGCCTCTTGAGTTATTGCAATAGCCATTTGCATTGCTTTAGCAACCAGACTTTATCACAACTCAAGGTTCCCAGAGGGTGTTGAGAGGACTGCAGCTTAGGTAGTAAAAGCTGGAAAAGAGGGAAGGAAAAATGAATGAAACTAGAAAAAGAAAGGGAGAATTATTAGGGGGAGAAGGAGAGGAAAGGGAGAGTGAGAAATAGTAAAAGCCAGAGTAGGAGATGGGGAAGAGGATCAGGAGAAGCGAGGGAGGGAGGAAGAGAAGGAGAAATGGAGGAAGGCAGAAACAACAGGTAATTGTAAGGATAATGCAGTGGACACTATTTGTGTTTTTCCTCTATCATTATTATTATTATAATAATGCCATTGTTACATTGGAGAGGAGGTGGAATGTGTTTAATAGAAAGCAGGGACTTTGGAGTTAGCCTAGACATGGTTTCGAATTTTGACTCTTTTCCTGAGAAGCATTATGTCCTGTCTTAGTCCAGTGGACTGCTATAACAAAATACTACAGACTGGGTGACTTATTAACAACAATAATTTATTTCCCACAGTTCTGGAAGCTGGGAAGTCCAAGATCAAGGCACCATTCATTGTCTGGCGGGGGCCAGCTTTCTTGCTTGTAGACAGTGCCTTCTTACTGTGTCCTCACACAGGGGAATAAGCAAGGAATATCTCTCCTGCCTCTTTGATAAAGCAACTAATTTCTTTTATGACCTAATCACCACCACCACCCCCGCCCAAAGTCCCATCTCCTGATACTATAAACTTGGGAGTGAGGATTTCAACATATGAATTTGGGGGGAAATAAAAACACTCAGATCATAGCCTATCTCTAGGCACGACACTTAACCTCTCTCTCAAAGTTAGGCTATTTTTAATTATAAAAAAAGGGATAACATCTCTCCTCTTAGGTATCTTTAAAAACCATATAATATAAATGGCTTATCACAAAGTAAGTTTATATTAGTATTTATAACATAACTGCTATGTGTTAATTATCCTTCATTTACCAGCATCACTATTGATTAAACCTAACAAAGAACACACCAAATATGCTTTATAGATCTTAGAATACTGCTGCTTTCTTTACCCCTGCCTCTCATATGCCAGCCATTAATTTCTGCCACAACATACATGAGTGCTAATGGCCATGGATCTTACATTTTGGGAACATCTCTCCCTGTTCACTGGTAGAATTTCCCACAAGCAGATAAAGCAAGATATGAAGATAGCACAAGGGCGTCATGGAAACTGCTTCTTTGTCCTATCTGTTAGGACTTTCTATGTCCCTACACACAAAAACTTATTGAATGACTTTATAAGGTCACAATCTTAAGAAAAAAAATTTTTTTTTTGCTTATGAATCTATTAACTTACTTATCTGTGCACAAGTGATTCTCACTTTAATTAACCCCCATTACTATCCTATGTGTTCTAAAAGAAGTGAATATGCATGAGAAAAAACAAGCATTCCCAGCTTAGATTTCTTAAAAAAAAACCAGAAAGATCTATGGATAGATAAATTGCACCGTAAGGCTGCTGTCTGAAATGAAGACTACAAATGACGGCTAAGAGAAGTAATAGAATATGCAGGCATCCTGTTTGGAATTAATATGTACAATCTCCTCATATTCCAAAACGCCACACTTGTAGGTTTTCTTTTTCCTGGAGTTTCTTATTATTCATTCAACTCACAAAAATTATTAAGCTAAGTGAGATACTAATCGTCAGTAGGGAAAAGGAAAGTTATGACAATCTATTAATATAATGACCTTTGCCCTAAAGAAACTGCACTCTATTTGAAAGTCCTCAAGTGATTTAAGTCTTTCATCAATTGTTTAACAGTTGACATGATTTAGTTTATAACTATTGGATCAGCCCTAAGATTTCTTATAGCCCCACTCAGTTTATATCACTAAGGTAGATGGCAAGGAATAGTCCAGCACAGCAGCGTCCAATAGAAATAGAATACAAAAAAAATCATATATATAATTTTTAAGTTTTCTAGTAGCCATGAAAAAAAGGTAAAAAAGAAACAAAAATCATTTTAATATTGTATTTTATTTAACCCAACATATCTAAAGTATTATCATTTCAACATGAAATCAATATAAAAATATATTAATGAGTATTTACATTTTGTTTGGTAATCGGTCTTCAAAATCAGTGTCTTTACACTTACAACATGACAATTTGGAGTAGCCACATTTCAAGTACTCTGTAGCCATACATGACTAGTGGCTAGCCTATCGACAGCATAGTTCAAGCATTTTCTCTAAGTAACTTATTCATTTCAATTATATATCTGTATCCAACTGCTCCTGTGCATTTATCCTTACAATCAAATCTGTATTATTGTAAGAAACAGAGAAGTTCCCCATCTTCTAATACCAGGAAAGGCAAAATAGGGCTTGGTGTTTTTGAGCTTAGATTTTAACCTATAAATTAACGTTCTTTGATATATCTTACTAACTGTATTCAGAAAAGTTTTAACATTTATGACAAAAGAGCCAGAATGGCAAGATAAAATTATAGTTCTGGACAGGAAATGTCAATGGGTGCTGGAAGCCACTGAAAGAACACCCAGAGTTTAGGAAAGCAGAGAATAGAATTGTTGTGCCCATGGCAACATTTATATGGGAAATGTCTCTCTCATTCCCTTTCAAGATCACCATCAGTGTCACTCTAACATTTATATATGGCCTTGATGAAAGTGTGAAATATAGGACAGGGTCTTAAATTGAAATATTACCATAGTTGACCAGGAGGTAGAGCACCTTCATCATTTTTAATCCTGTTTCTTTTTCTAGCTATTGTGGCTCCTTATAGAAGCACTCAGTTTAGATTGCTAAGGTAGGTCTCATAGGTAAGATGTGGAAATGTAGCATTTGAATGTTAGTATCACCTGTAAATAAGAACTATGAAAAGTCTGAGGTTTTACTCTGCTTTCAAGCTAGTATGTTAGCTTGCCACAGTTTCATAGATACTAGTAGATGGCATGAGACCCTTGGGTCAGAGACAGAGGGCATAATTATATGTTCCCATTAGTCCCCCTTGCCTCCAAAGTCCCAGGGGGTAATGCAGAATGGCTCGAGGAAATGCTGTACACATAGTAAATACGTGTCACACCTTAGGAATCCTAGGTTAAGAAAATCTCAATCTCCCGAAAGACCAGCTAGTCAACCTGCCCAACTTTTATCCTGGAGGGAAACATTATCTTTATTATCTTGGAGAGAAAACAAATCTTCCCTCTGCCCTAGACAGAGACACATACACTCTCTCTTTTCCAAGGCTATTTACCATACAAACATCCTTGAAAAGACAATAAGGAACAAAGCTATCAATACCTTTGTTCAGAAAATAGGCAGATGCAAGAACTACCTATGGATAAATGTCCCCCAACAAACTTATATTAAGGCCCCCCACTGGCCCTCTTATTGTCTACCAGATAAACTCCTGCTTTCCTCACTTATTCAACCTATGTTTGTTTATTGCTTTTTATGTGCTATTAGATTTGAAAGATTGTCAAATATTTGCAAAAACCAAGGTCTAATAGATGTAAAAGTTTCAAAAAATACTCAGGGAAAAAATTAAGAGAATTCTAATCATTTCCACAATAAGGACTTTGAGGAACTAATAGATCTTCTTAAGAGAACTTAGTTTCCCCAAGTTTCTGACAATCATGAGATCTGGATCTTTTGGGGGTCCAGGTTGCACGTATTAATATTTACTTACCAGGTGCCCCGATTTGGGGATTAAGTAAAATATAATTATAAAAAAAATTTAGTCTCTTGCTTCCATATGGCATTTTTACATCCTTTTTTTCTGATGGCAAATAATAACACACTTATACAAAGTGGCATTTAACATCAAATACATTTCATAAAACATGTTTTGATTGTATGAACTCATAAACAGATATTGAACCCTTCATATGCATGCCGGTTATATTTAAACATAAAAAAACCCATTTAATGTACAAATAGTCCCTGATAACTCTGTATAGAATCCAACTTTTTAAACAGCTGTGCAGAAGAGCTTCATAATTTAGGGTAGCAAAAGAAGATGGAAACTACATACAATTTTAGGCTTCAGGAGAATTTAGGTCAGTTAGAGGTCATTCTCCAAAATTGAATCAGAAAGGAATTCTAAACTATTGCTCAACTAGGACCCACTTTGGAAGGGTAAATTGTGCTGTACTCTATGATTTGTAGAGACCGCAGAGGGGTCCAGGTTTGGCTCACTTTCTAGCTGACCATAAAGACAACTTGGGAATAGATTGTCACAGGGACCCACTAAATGAATCACAGCCCATTTCCTGCAGCTCCTCCGTGTTTTTGAATGCCTTAGTCATCACACTCTTGGCTTATGGGAATCAGTTCCCAAAGGTCACATAGATTGCACTTCTATGGTAGTTTGATAATTTTCTGTCTACTTTAGAATAGTCGGCCAGCATTTTAAAAGTCATTTTATGTGACCGTATGGTGTGTATGAAAGAACAAGGGCTTAAAACTAGAAATCTGGACGTAAGTCTTAGTTTTGCCATTATTTGCCACTGGGCAAGTCACTGAAACTTCCTGGTCTTCTCACCTGTAGAATGGCAGGATAGGTAAAGAGGTTATGATTCATGACCAGTAAAGGCTTTTCCAGTCTTACCTTTGTATCATTCTATCTCATTTAAGACCTGGCCTTGTAAATTGTGTACTAGGAAGAACATATCTAGGCACTTTGCAGCGTCTGCTGCTATTACTACTTTATCAAGTAAGTTGCTTGGTGCCCCATTCAAAAAGCATTATGGGCAGAGCTACAGAAATGTGTGTAGCTGTTTGTCAGCATGGGTAACTCCTCAGTGACACTTGGATCTCATGACTTACTTCTTTTTTCTTGGGTGACTCAAACTCTCAGGGTCATCCTCCTGGGAGACATGTCACATGGTGATATAAAGCATGCGGCAGATATCATCAGTTTAACCAAAAGGTAAAGGAAAAATACAATCATCTTCCAGTCCACTCATTCTGAATCTTCTCACAGCATCAAAGGAAAGCTCAAAGATGGATTTCTTGCAATTTTCCCCCTTGACAGTGTGGGATACTTCAGTCAGATGAATAATACATGCAGTTGCAAGGAACACAATTTTAAAAGAATCTGGCATTTACAAAGCAGCTTTACTTCTGGAAAGAGTAAAGCCTTTGAATACTCTGTCAGTTTGAAAAGAGGTTCTGTGTCACCCTATCAGGTCACACAAACCATCTGATCAAGTGCCATTTGATGAAAGCATTTATTAATGTCAGAGTAAGAAAAATCAGCTTGAGGGATGGAAAAAGCCTAGAGGATTTATTTTTAAACCTTTAGGAATGAAAAGGAGTGGGGAGATTTCTGTTTCTAGAATGAAATACAATATAGAATTTGGATTTGACTGAATGGGGGAGCATGAGTCCTAAATCAGTGAAGAATTGTTTCCATTTTTTTGTTTGTTTGTTTTTGTTTTTGTCTTTCAAGTCTTGAGACTGCTTCCAGGAAGAGGAAATAGATGAACATTTCCCTATTCCTCCCACTAAGAGTACTAAAAACCTTGGGGCACACAAGAAATATGGACAATTTCTCAGACAATAACTGCTCTATCCTAGTCAAATAACACAGAAAAAAAAACTGGTCCTATCCTCCATGTCAGCAAAGTCTAAATGGGTAATTCTGACTCCATTCTCTCCTGCCTATAAAAAGGTGTGCCCACAGCCCCAACAGAGTGGTATCAGAGAAGACCAAGTAGAGAGATGAGACCTTCATGACCCCCGTCAGTATTAGTGAGCCCAGCTCCCATCCCAGTGTCAATGGAGAACACATGGTAAGCCTGGGCTTCCACCCCAGTGCAGCAGCAATGAGGTGCTTCTCCCATTCCTCCCTTGGGTATTAGTAGAGGAGGTCCAGGGGACAGTCAGGACTTTCAACATCACCTGTTAGTAACAAGGACACCTGTACATGATGCATGGTGTCACTGGAAAATATACAAGCGGGGGGCTGAAACTCCCATATCCACCTAGTAGTAAAGAGGGTTTCCCCATCTCAGGTGGCAGTGGAGACTTGAGTAGGGAACCTGGACTTTTACTTCCACTCGGTAGTAAAGAGACAGACTCTGGAGTGCTATTGGAGAAATCCAGTGACAGCAGAAGGTTAAAATGAGATTCTGTGTCTTAACATTTTAAAAGTGCACATTTTGATAAAAAATAACTCATATTAAAAGCCAGAATGAACATGCTAGCATCAAGATAACAGAGATGTTAGAATTATTTGACAAAGATTTTGAAGCAGTCACAACATGTTTGTTTTAAAAGCAATGATGAACATGTTTGAAATAAACTGAAAACTAGAAATTATCAGCAAAGAAATTGAAAGCCTCAACAAAGACAAAGAAAAAATAAAGAAGAACAAAATGGAAATTTTAGAACTGAAAAATACAACACAAAAAATAAAATACTTGGTGGATAGGCTCAGTAGCAGGATAGAGGGGCAGAAAAAAACAGTCAGTGAACTGGAATATAGAAGAATAGCGAGAAAATAGACCGAAAGAAAACAAGCCAAACCAACCAACCAAACAAAAAATGCCTCAATGACATATAGGATTATAATACATGAATTAACATTTGTGTCATCTGAAAAATTGAAAAGAGAGGGGAGAAAATGTGGGGCTGAAAAAATATTTAAAGAAATAATGGACCTGGCATGGTGGCTCATGCCTGTAATACCAGAGGCCAAGGCGAGAAGGTTGCTTGAGCCCAGGAGTTTGAGACAAACCTGAGAAATATAGTGAGACCCCATCTCTACAAAAACAGAAACAAAAAATTAGTTGGATATGGTGGCATGCATCTGTAGTCCCAGCTACTCAAGAGGCTGAGGTCAGAGGATTGCTTGAGCTCAGGAGTTTGAGGTTGCAGTGAGCTGTGATTATGCCACTGCACTACAGTCTGGGATACGGAGTAGACCCTACCTCAAAAAATCAAAATAAAACAAACAAAATAATAAATATTGAAAACTTCCCAAATTTGATGAGACATACACCTATAGATTCAAGACGTTAAGCAAACACCAACTATGATAACCCCACAGATATCTATGCCAAGACACATCATTACCAAGCTTCTGAAAACTAAAATAAAACACGAAAAACAGGACTGGGCTCATGCCTGTAATCCCAGTCATACAGGATGGGGGCAGGGAAGTGCTGAGTAGAAAAGGGTGTGGTCCCTGGTGAGGGCTCCACCCTCCAGCCTATACCCAAGAATCTAGGTGAGGATAGGCACTCCTGTTTCCACACCCAAAATTGCATTTTCCAAGACCACTCTGGCCTGCCACGCCTCCCATTCTGTGCCTATAAAAATCCTGAGACCCTAGCGGGCATGCACACAATTGTCTGGACATCAAGAGGAACACACCAGCAAAAGAGCACATAGGCGGTGAACGTTGAGAGGAGTAGAGGAGTGGTAGAGCATACAGTCAGACACCAACAGATGCCAGCAGGCCATCTACCGTGGGACAACGAGGAAGCCGGTTAGGGGCAGCCAGACTCCAGGGGAAGACCACTTTCCCACTGCCTCCCCTTCTGGCTCCCCATCCATCTGCTGACAGCTACCTCCACTCAATAAAACCTTACACTCATTCTCCAAGCCCATGTGTAATCTGATTTTTCTAGTACACCAAGGCAGGAACCCAGGATACAGAAAGCCCTCTGTCCTTGTGACAAGGCAGAGGGTCTCATTGAGCTGATTAACACAAGCCACCTGCAGATGGCTAAGCTAAAAGAGCACACTGTAACACACACACACTAGGGCTTCAGGAACTGTAAACACTCAACAATAGATGCTGGTGTGGGGTTGGAGCCACACAAACCTGCCCATCTGCATGTTCCCCCTAGGTGTTTGAGCAGTGGGGCACCAAAGAAGTGAGCCACACTCCCATTGCATGCCCTGTGAGGGGAATAAGGGAAATTTTCCCATTTCACCAGCACTTTGGAAAGCCAACACGGGCTGATCACTTGAGGTCAGGAGCTTGATACCAGACTGGCTAACATGGTGAAACCCCATCTCTACTAAAAATACACAAATTAACTGGGTCTGGTGGTGCATGCCTGTAATCCCAGCTACTTGTGAGGCTGAAGCAGGAGAATCACTTGAAGCTGGGAGGTGGAGGTTGCAGTGAGAAGAGATCGTGCCACTGCACTCCAGCCTGGACGATAGGGCGAGACTCTGTCTCAAAAACAAAGAAACAAACAAACGAACAAAAAATCTGTAAAAGCGTACAGAAAAACCATCACCATATCTAAAAGGGAAAGGGAAAACTAATTTGAATATCAGGTTTCTCATCAGAAACCTTGGAGGTCAGAGGGAAGTGTCACAATATTTTTCAAGTGTTGAAAGAAAAAAAAAGTCATCCCAGAATTCTTTATCCCGTGAAAATATCCTTTAGGAATAAAGAGGAAACCTCTAGGATGAAGGAAAACTGAGGAACTTGTGGCCAGCAGACCTGCACTAAAAGAATGGCTGAAGGAAATTTCCTAAACAGAATAGAAACAATAAAGGAAAGAAATTTGGAGCATGAAGAAGAAAGAAAGTGCATGGTAAACAAAAATATGAGTAAATACAATATGACTTTTCAAAGTTAAGTACTGTTACTTGGCCTCTGCTAGTCTAGGATTCCATCATTCTCATTGCTAAGAATCTTAGATCTGTGATAAAAAGCCCAACTTACAAAGGAGAGCCACTACTGACCACAACTGACAATAATGTTGGCCCACTACACACACAGACATAGACACGCACACACACACACACACACACACACACACACACACGCAGTGTACTAAGTTGGTAAATACAGTGTCCCGTGGGCTGACAAGATGAACACAATTGGGGAAATCTGTGAGGAAATAAAGAAATCAGGATCATGGGGAAGAATAAACTGAACAAATATTTGATTTTCAGTCATGATCTCATTGGGAGCTCTGGAGTGCAAATGGCACCACAAAGTTGTTCCATCTTGATGCACAAGATTGTTTACCCTTGATTCAGTTAGCTCTAGCTATAAGCGTCCTCCGGGCAGTTCCATAACTTCCCAGACATTTCAGGGTAAAAGATTTCCCATTGGCCAAGGACAATTCTCCAGAGAAGAATTCAGATGTTAATCATTGCAACACTTACAGTAGCTGCAATATGGGCACACCAACTCAGTAAGTAGTTCTAGGCAGGGCACCAACTGTGTTTACTGTAATTCAGAGAAGGCATAAAAATCCAAGTGGGCTACACTGGGAAAAAAAGCTATATAGTGAGATTGAACATAAGAAATGGTTAGAGTTATTTAGTAGGTAGAATGGACAAGTGATATATTCAGCAAAGTGATAGAGGCAGGATTGATTATAAAATCAATCTAAAATTATTAGAGAGTGAAGAACTCCAAAATTCATATATGGTCTAATCAAATGTTATATCTTCTTTTGGTAATTAACATTTTGTTTTTCTTTTAAATATGTAACGTAAATTCATATACATTCAAAATTCCAAAGGTACAAAAGGGTACACAATTAAAAAAACACCCTTTCAAACTTACTTATTGGTCATCCATTTCTCTTACACAGAGTCAAGTTCCTATCTCATTTCAGAGAAAGTCTATGTATAAACACATAAATATTTTATATTTGCCTTCTTATTTACATAACTGTAAATACATGTTTGAGATCAACCCATATTAATACATAAAATTGATAGTTGTTTACATTTCTAACAGTTTTGGGGAGGACAATTTGGCCTCTATCAAATTCATAAATATGCCTACTCATTGTGGTCAACTGTGCTGAGAAATATTTTAAATATTTGCTTCCATCCCTATGGGGAGATAATTATATATCCACACCCCATTGATGTCAGCCTTAACCACATGACTTTCTTTGTGAATAGAAAGAAACTGCATAATATTTTTGCAACTTCAGAATATTTTTATATGACTGCATTATATTTTATTTGGCCACTTCCATACTGATGAGCATTTAGGGTGGTTGTAATAGTTTATTATTACATATAATATAGTAACAGATATCCATGTATGTATACCATTTTATATAGTCCTGAGTATAGCTACAGGATAAATTTAAACAAGTAGAACCACTGAGTTAAATGCTATAGCTTACATCAACCAGATTACACTAAACTATTCCATAATAACAAATGATGTCAAACTCTTGGTAGCTTATAACATTAAAGATTGCTCTCTCACTCATGTTACATGTCTATTGCAGGCTACTTTGGCTTGGATTAAAGGAGTAATCCTCTAGGACATGCTAGGTTTTTGGTAGAAGGAAAAGAGAACGTGACTAACTGTGTGAGGGTACTTAAAGTTTCTCCTTGGAAATAATAATACATGTTGCTTCTATTCACAAAGAAAGGCATGTGGTCAAGGCTCAAATCAATTGGGTATGGATATATCCTTATCTCCCCATAGGGATGGAAGCAAATATTTAAAATATTTCCCAGCACAGTTGACCACAATGAGTAGGCATATTTACAAACTTGATAGATGCCAAATTGTTATCCTCCAAACTGTTAGAAATGTAAACAACTATCAAAAATATATATTTCACCCATTTCCTCACTGATACATTATGACATCAGACTCTTTAATCTTGGTCATTTCAAAAGAGAATATATTTTAATATAACCCTAATTTTAATTTATCTTATATTGAGTGAAATTCAGACTATATTCATGTTCATATTTAAGTATGCCTTGGCAGAGAAATATTTGAGAGTCTTCTTTGATTAACAGTCTTTTAACTTCTTTTATCTGGATACCACAATTCTATTAATTCAGTCTATGATTATTAATGTTCTGTTGTTTTTAAGTCAGCTCATGTCTACAGAATCCAGATTTTTTCGACATACTGACAGCTGTTAAGCTCAGTCCCTTCTAGCTGACAAGCCATGTCCTCACCATTTTGTATTTTTAGCAAATTTTAAAAAACAAAACACAAATGTGTATTTTTGTGTCATTCTTCTGGATAGAATCTTTTTGTATTCAGTCCAGTATTTCAACCTATACTGATAAAAATTTGCATTTTTTAAAATGAATTCTCCTGTTAAAAACTAATGTAAGCAGATATGTTGAAAATCCAGGCAAGAAAATAAAATAGCCTGTCTATCATTACTCAAGGATGAATATTTATTTTATCACCTTTCTTGTCAGTCAGACCACCTAGAACTGAACCATCTGGGAATCTGATCAATATGCTTTCTAAGACTTTATTCAGACACTCAAAATAATTAATAGTGTCAAGCAGGTTTCTGGCTTTTTCTCTAGCTTCTTCTCAGTTGGCAATTTTCAAACAAATGTACAGTAATTAAAATCATCATTCACATAAACTTCTCTTCCATAATGGGGTGTCTCTTTCCTTAGGGTTTTTGAGAGTGATTAAGAATTATAGGACTGGGCACAAAGTGGCAAAGAAAAGTGGAGAAGATTGAGTTATTGGGATGGCAAAATTTTTTTTCCAGAGGTAAGGTAAAAAAGTCAAACAACAATCAATTCTATAAACCCAAGGTCTGCAAATAGAAAGGACCACCTATGAATACAAATCCTAGAAGGTCCAAAAATGAGAATCAAAGTTGGCAGTAGAGAACACCTGAGTTCGATTCATATAAAGGCAAGACCAAGCCAACTGTTGTTTAGGGGCAGGGAAAACTCAAAATGTGGTCAATTGCTTTGAGTATTTAACTTGCTCTTAGCCAGGGAGGATGTCTGGGGCACAAAGGTTTTCTGTCCTGTTCTAAGGGTTCATTGTGTCAGAGCCATCTGACAGCCTCCTGTGTATCCTCCTCCTTAGAGCTAATAGGTGTTTCATAAGGATATTTACATTTATATTTGCAAATATAAAATTTTAAAGCATAGTGTAGAGTTCTTGAATGGGACATGAAAGACATTGCAAGCTGCCCATTAATTCACATCTAACAATACTTTCTAACTTTGATAAAGTTCAATAAATTTCAGTAGAAGAAACTCAAAAGTAATACCATTGTTTTAATTTTAGCTGCTATAACAAAATACTGGCAGCCGCCGCCGCCCGACCGCCGGGAGGATGGAGTTCAGCGGGCAGCGGAGCTGTCTCAGTCTTTGCCGCCGCGCCGGCGAGCGCCGCCGGGGAGGCAGCGGCTGGAGGAGCGGACGGGCCCCGCGGGGCCCGAGGGCAAGGAGCAGCCGCCTGCCTTGGCCTCCCAAAGTGCCGAGATTGCAGCCTCTGCCCGGCTGCCACCCCGTCTGGGAAGTGAGGAGTGTCTCTGCCTGGCCGCCCATCGTCTGGGATGTGAGGAGCCCCTCTGCCTGGCTGCCCAGTCTGGAAAGTGAGGAGCGTCTCCGCCCGGCCGCCATCCCATCTAGGAAGCGAGGAGCGCCTCTTCCCAGCCGCCATCACATCTAGGAAGTGAGGAGCGTCTCTGCCCGGCCGCCCATCGTCTGAGATGTGGGGAGCGCCTCTGCCCCGCCGCCCCATCTGGGATGTGAGGAGCGCCTCTGCCCGGCCGAGACCCCGTCTGGGAGGTGAGGAGCGTTTCTGCCGGCTGCCCCGTCTGAGAAGTGAGGAGACCCTCTGCCTGGCAACCACCCCGTCTGAGAAGTGAGGAGCCCCTCCGCCCGGCAGCTGCCCCGTCTGAGAAGTGAGGAGCCTCTCCGCCCGGCAGCCACCCCATCTGGGAAGTGAGGAGCGTCTCCGCCCGGCAGCCACCCCGTCCGGGAGGGAGGTGGGGGGGGCAGCCCCCGTCCGGCCAGCCGCCCCATCCGGGAGGGAGGTGGGGGGTCAGCCCCCCGCCCGGCCAGCCGTGCCATCCGGGAGGAGGTGGGGGGGTCAGCCCCCGCCTGGCCAGCCGTGCCATCCGGGAGGAGGTGGGGGGGCAGCCCCGCCCGGCCAGCCGCCCCGTCCGGAGGTGAGGGGCCCTCTCCCGGCCGCCCTACTGGAAGTGAGGAGCCCTCAGCCCGCCAGCACCCCGTCGGAGGAGATGGGGGGGCATCCCCACCCGGCCAGCCGCCCGTCCGTAGGAGGTAGGGGGGCAGCCCCCGCCTGGCCAGCCGCCCCGTCCGGAGGAGGTGGGGGGGCAGCCCTCCGCCCGCCAGCCGCCCCGTCTGGGAGGTGAGGGGCGCCTCTGCCCAGCCGCCCCTACTGGGAAGTGAGGAGCCCCTCTGCCCGGCCAGCCGCCCCGTCCGGGAGGGAGGTGGGGGGGTCAGCCCCGCCCGGCCAGCCGCCCTGTCCGGGAGGAGGTGGGGGGATCAGCCCTCCGCCCGGCCAGCCGCCCCGTCTGTGAGGTGAGGGGCGCCTCTGCCCGGCCGCCCCTACTGGGAAGTGAGGAGCCCCTCTGCCCGCCAGCCGCCCCGTCCGGGAGGGAGGTGGGGGGGTCGCCCCCCGCCCGCCAGCCGCCCCATCCGGGAGGGAGGTGGGGGGGGGTCAGCCCCCCCACCCAGCCAGCCGCCTGTCCGGGAGGTGAGGGCGCCTCTGCCCGGCCGCCCCTACTGGGAAGTGAGGAGCCCCTCTGCCCGGCCAGCCGCCCGTCCGGGAGGGAGGTGGGGGGGTCGGCCCCCCGCCCGGCCAGCCGCCCGTCCGGGAGGGAGGTGGGGGGGTCAGCCCCCCTGCCCGGCCAGCCGCCCCGTCCGGGAGGGAGGTGGGGGGGTCAGCCCCCCTGCCCGCCAGCCGCCCGTCCGGGAGGTGAGGGGCGCCTCTGCCCGGCCGCCCCTACTGGGAAGTGAGGAGCCCCTCTGCCCGGCCACCACCCCGTCTGGGAGGTGTGCCCAACAGCTCATTGAGAACGGGCCAGGATGACAATGGCGGTTTTGTGGAATAGAAAGGCGGGAAAGGTGGGGAAAAGATTGAGAAATCGGATGGTTGCCGTGTCTGTGTAGAAAGAAGTAGACATGGGAGACTTTTCATTTTGTTCTGCACTAAGAAAAATTCCTCTGCCTTGGGATCCTGTTGATCTGTGACCTTACCCCCAACCCTGTGCTCTCTGAAACATGTGCTGTGTCCACTCAGGGTTAAATGGATTAAGGGCGGTGCAAGATGTGCTTTGTTAAACAGATGCTTGAAGGCAGCATGCTCGTTAAGAGTCATCACCAATCCCTAATCTCAAGTAATCAGGGACACAAACACTGCGGAAGGCCGCAGGGTCCTCTGCCTAGGAAAACCAGAGACCTTTGTTCACTTGTTTATCTGCTGACCTTCCCTCCACTATTGTCCCATGACCCTGCCAAATCCCCCTCTGTGAGAAACACCCAAGAATTATCAATAAAAAAATAAATTAAAAAAAAAAAAAAAAAAAGAATGGACTTTCCCAGGCCAGCTGTGGTGGCTCACGACTGTAATCCCAGCACTGTGGCAGGCCAAGGCGGGCAGATCACCTGAGATCAGGAGTTCAAGACCAGCCTGACCAACACGGAGAAACCCCGTCTCTACTAAAAATAAAAAAAATTAGCTGGGCGTGGTGGTGCATGCCTGTAATCCCAGCTACTTGGGAGGCTGAGACAGGAGAATTGCTTGAACCCAGGAGGCAGAGGTTGTTGTGAGCTGAGATTGCACCATTGCACTCCAGCCTGGGCAACAAGAGGGAAACTCCATCAAAAAAAAAAAAAAAAAAAAGGACTTTCTCAAAGAAAATGTATTTAAATGTCTGCACCAATAATTCCAGCATGTGTATGAATAAATATGATATGTCCTTTACAGTGAAGGTCTAATAAGATTTACTTATATGCCTTTACCTTCTTAGAAAGTCTCTAAGAAATAAAATATCTTTACAATCAAAAAAAAAAAAAAAACAAAAAAAAAACAAAATACTGTGAGTAGCTCAGCAACATTTATTTTTTTTCCAGAAGCTATGAAGTCAAGATCAAGTTTCCCAGATCTGGCATCTCCTGAGATCACTTTTCCTGGTTTTCTCACATGGGTGGGTGGGGAGAGAGAGACAAACAGAAAGAGATAGAGGGGTAGAGAGACAGAGAGAAAGAGAGAGAGAGAGGTGGGAAAGAAAGAAAGAAAGAAAGAGAAAGAGAGAGAGAAAGAAAGAAAGAAGAAAGAAAGAAAAAGAAAGAAAGAAAGAAAGAAAGAAAGAAAGAAAGAAAGAAAGAAAGAAAGAAAGAGAAAAAGAAAGAGAGAGAAAGAAAAAGAGGAAGGAAGGGAGGAAGGGAGAAAGAGATCTCCTATCTCTTCTGATATGGGCACTAATCCCACTGTGAGGGCTGCACCATCGTGGCCTAAGTGCCTCCCAAAAGCTATCTCCAAATCCCATCACATTAGGGATTAGGGTTTCCAACATATGAATTTGGGGTGAGGGGGGAGGGAGGACAGAAACATTCAGTCCTTGGCAATCCTGGTGCTTGAATATCAATGTCAAATATTCATAATCCAATCAGAAGATTTTTACATAGAGAAATTCATGCAGTTAAGTCTAAAAACAGGAAGAGATAACCATCAAAGAATTCTTGCTGATCCCTGAAGCCTGATATCTTGATCTTTCTCCTTTCAATTTCTTATTTGCAAATTCTGTGAATAAGTGGTCGGGGTTAAATACAACCTAGACATGTAATTTGTTTTCTGTCATAACCTATGACATTGAAAACAATTTTTTTGTATTTATTTCCAAGATAGTTGTCCTGTAATTTTGACAAATACCTTATGCCTGTCCTTGTAAGGAAAAAGAGTACATGGCAGTTTTCCTAATGAGTCCCTCCTTTTATCATTTTCCCACTTCAGAGGATTATAGTGACAGGTGATTGACAGAACAGAAATCGAGTATATAAAATGTTTATTTCACAAAATATAGCCATGGATGAGGTCCTGAACTGGGCTGTGAGTGGGGACAGAAAAGAAGACATTTAGGACTTGAAGAAAAGGAAAACTGACAAAATTAAGAAATTAATTGTCTTTGGGGGTTGGGGGAGAGATGCAGGGAGAGGGAGTAGTCAAATATAATTAGGGTTTTGAGTAAGGTGAAAGAAATAAAATAATAGTAGATGATTTGTTTGAATCCAATGAAAACTTTAACAGATGAACAAAATGTTTTGATAAACATCATTGTCATAATACTGAAACCATAAAACTTGAATAAACTGGATCTCAAATTTACCATGAAAATCTTATTGAAAATAGTTCAGAAAGAAATGCTACTGTAATTTGTAATAGAAATATCTTATATTTGCTGTATGGCTGTGCTGGAAACTGGAAGAAATTATTCATTGCATTTTCTCCATATGCTTTTAAGCAAAGAGCCATACCTTAACAAAACAACTGGCAAACTACAATCAATCAATCTCTCCCACTTTCTGCTTCCAAGCAGCCTGTGAGTGATAACAATGATTTTTGCATTTTTAAATTGCCCTAAAATATCAAAAGAGCAATATTTTGTGCCCCGTGATAATTATATAAACTTTAAACCTTAGTGGTTATAATTAAAGTTTTACTAGAACACAGCATGTGCATTTGTATGCATACTACCTTTGGCCACTTTCATGCCACAATGGCAGACTTTACTCGCTGCAAGAGAACATATGGCTACAATGGTCTACAATTTTACATCAAATGCCTAAAATACTTATTATCTGACTCTTTACATAAACATTTGCTAACCTCTGCCCTAATATAAGTTATAGATTTAAAGATAAGTTAGAAAACAAATTTAAAGATAAGTTAGGAAACAATGCCTAGAATATTTATTATGTGACCCTTTACAGAAACATTTGCTGACCTCTGCCCTAATATAAGTTACAGACTTAAAGATAAGTTAGGAAACAATAACACTAGTTGAAAGCCTAACTAGAAAAATCTGTGATTTAACTTTATCACATTTTCATTCATCTATTCACTCAATAAGTATTTATGGTGAGTCTATTGTCTGTCAATCATATGTGAGGTGCTACAGATAGAAATGCAAAACAAATTTAAACAGTAGTCTATTTCCTATTAGAGAAACACTCTCAAAATGAATTCTTTTCATTATTTCTGGCAAGAGAATATCAAGGAAATAGACTGCAGTTACAATAGAGGGCTTCTTCTTAAGGCTCAGTGTTACTTGCCAGAATTAGAGTTTGGACAAAATAAAAGGGAGAATGTGTAGTGAGTCCAATTCATCCCAAATTCATAGATTGAATTTGTATTCATTTAACAACATGTAGCAGTTTTGGTGAATCTAATATATTATAAAAGATTATATTATTAAGAATCCACCTTCCTAGTATTGATTTGGTTTTTATTTCCAACCCTTTAAACAATTCAGTGAAGTAGGTATCCCACATCATGAGAAAACTGAAACAGAATAAATTGCCAAGCTTTTCAAAATAGTGTACTTTTAATATATTTGGTACATTTGAATATAATCTCTCTCACTGCTTTAGCATAAAATCATAAAATCTTACCCATAAGTATTTACAAATATTGTCAATTTTGTTGGAAGATAGATAAGCATGTTACATTACATGGCACACAATCATCAACTTTTTAAATATTCCTTTTCAGCAACTCTTTTCCCTAAAGATCTTCGCAAGTCCTCACTTTAAAAAATTACATAGAAAACCACTGATGGGCCTTTTTTTTTTTTTTTTTTTTTTTTTTAGATGGCAGAGTCTTACTCTGTCACCCAGGCTGGAGTGCAGTGGCACAATCTCAGCTCACTGCAATCTCTGCGTCCCAGTTCAAGCGATTCTCCTGTCTCAGCCTCCAGAGTACCTGGGACTACAGGCACACACCACCACACCTGGCTAATTTTTGTATTTTTAGTAGAGACGGGGTTTCGCCATGTTGGCCAGGCTGGTCTCAAACTCCTGACTCAGGTGTTCTGCCCACCTTGGCATCCCAAAGTGCTGGGATTACAAGCATGAGCTGTAATCCCCTCTGATGGGCTTTTATTTTTTTAAGTGAGTTTCTTATAGAATAACTTATATAGTAATTACATACATGTGCATACATGTGTTTCTTGTGTATAAATGCTACAACATTTCCAGCTAGTTGGATTTCAGTCTTGTTATATTCCAGTCACACTATTTTGAAAAATTTAGGCAAATTAGTTTAGAGCCTGAGTTTCCCTATATTTAAAATGGAAGCAATACTTACGCTGCTGAATGATCATAAGAATTCGAAATTAACAAGCAAATATCAATTTATTTTATCAATTCTGTTAATTTCTTAATTTCTATCTATTTCCTAGTTCAGCAAAACAAAGGAGCTCTAAGACTATTTCAAAGGCAGAAAAAAGGTAATGAAAGAAATGACAAATGGCTACACAATTAACTCTTACGTGGGGTTCAAAAGTGGTCATTTAAGAAGGTTGATAAACATTTTACACTTTATTTATACATTTACATAATATGTATACATGCATATAGTTATATTGGAATAAATGTTTACTACTCAAACTGTCCTTTAAAGAGGACAATTTGTCCATATATATTTATTTCTGGTCCCTCACAAAACTTCTAAAAAATAAAAGTAAATTGATTTTAAAATGTAACTCACAAAAATAAATAGAATAAATCAAAGCATATTAGGCACAACTTTTTGGAGTATGGAATGTGCAAGAACAAGTGATCATGGACTTAGAAGGCCCAAAGATACTCAACACTTATGCAGCAGTGGGAAAGCCAGGAAGCAATCTAGTGGTGCCTCAGAATTCATGAAAGGTAAGAAATGAGTCTGGGTGCATAACACCAAAGTATAAACTTAGCACTTTGGGAGGCTGAGGCAGGAGGATCACTTGGGGTTAGGGGTTTGGTATCAGCCTAGTCAACATAGTCAGATCTCATCTCTAGAAAAAAAATAATAATTAATTAATTAATTACTTAGTTGGGTGTGGTGGTGCACACTTGCAGCTCTAGCTACTAAGGAGACTGAGGGGTGGATCACTTGAGCCCAGGAGTTCAAGGTTGTGGTGTGCTAAGAACACACCACTGCACTCCAGTCTGGGTGAAGAGCAAGACCCTATCTCCGGGGGAAAAAAAAAGATAAGAAATGATAACAGCATAAATATCTAAGGAGAAGGAAAAGGGGTTGGTTAACACAAATTGGAATTTGATGAAAGTCTATTTGAGAAATTGTTGAAAATCCAGATCTCACTCAACATTTCAGCAGAAGTCTCTTGGAGGCTTATTTTCCAGGAAGAATGGAAAGGAAAGTCCCCGGATTTCTCAAGAGGAAAAGTAAAAAAAGGATGCTATACCCAAATAGGAGCAGCCGGTGAGTTTGTACCCAACATTAAAACTGAGCAGCCCATGAGTTCGTACCCAACATTAAAACTGACCATATTTCTCTCACCATTCAGTTTCTAGAAAGCTGGCAGCCAGACTTGTAACTTTAGGCAAAATTATTCTTCCCTAGGCAAAACTACTCTTTAGGCAAGACTACTCTTCTTTTCAAAAGAAAAGACACCGTCATTTGAGGTTTCCCAGCCAAAGATTACAACCAGTTCATTCTATGGTGAATTGGTTGTAATCTTTCAACCAAAAAAATTCAACAAGGCTATAGCTTTTAAACAGTTTTTGGTCCCCTACTTCACAGAACAGATTTAAAAAGGATTAGTAGACACCTCATGAAAGCCTGTAACATGAATGATAGAAAGAAAACCTACAAATATACAAATAGAGAAAAAGCACTAGGAGGAAACAGACTATACAAGGAGATGAAAACCTCAAATATATATGTATTAATAATCCCAGAAAAATTTAAAAAAGAAATTGCATTCACGACACAAAGATAGAATCATATACATATATGTGTGTGCTTAGAGAACAAGAAACCTATTAAAAATGTAAAATATGATATTAAAAAAAATCTCAGTGCAACAGTTGAAAGATAAGATAAAAAAATAAGGTGGGGCCAAGATGGCCAACTAGAAGCAGTGGCGATCAGAGGCTCCCATCAGAAAAACCCTTAATATGCATGTGAATCCTTCACCAGCAACCAAGGCATTCAGGTTCTCTCATCAAAATTGACTAGAAGGCTGGTGTGACCTATGAAGAAAAAGAAGAGCAGTGTGGTGTGACAGCCCACCTGAGAGCCACATAGGGAAGGGGAACCCCCTCCCCCCAGCCAAGGGAGGCGGTGAGTGAGTGCACTACCCAGCCGGGGAAACTGTGCTTTTTCTACGGAATTGTCCAACCCATGAACCAGAAGATCCCATTCGCGAACCCACACCACCAGGGCCTAGCATCCCAACTCCAGAATTGACAGATTCTTACAGCCTCTCAGCTAGAATCTGCTTAAGTCCACCAAGCTCCTGGGGAGAGGGGTGACCAGCACCAGCTGCAACTGCCTGCTGTCTAAGCCATTTGTGCTCCTTGGAGGAGGGGCAGCAGCCATCACTGGGACTCACAACTGCCTTACATGCTAAGCTCCCTGGGTAGGTAAAGGGCAGCACCCATTTCTATAGGTCCAGAATGCGATTTTCCCCTGGTGGAGCTGGGGAGGCTGGACAAGTTGGTCCCAAGACTTGTCCCCACAGCCAAACACACCGGCTGTGGCAGTCTGCGGCCAGAGGGCCTCTTCACGCCCAACCCTGACCCATCCTTCCTCACTGGGCAGGGCCTCCCTGAAGGATCTCCAGTAACTCCAGCCAGAAGCTCAAGGACAGAACCCAGATCTCTCTGGGCCTGAGCCCCTAGGTGGGGTGGTGGCTGCAGTCTCTGCAGACCAGCAGACTTAGCCTCTGGTCCTGGTAGTTCTGAGGAATCCAGGCTGCCCAGATGAGTGGGTTTCCCCTCAGTGAAACACACTCTCCACCAAGGAACAAGTGCTTCATTAAATGGGTCCTGCCCCCTATGCCACCCAAGTGAGTGAGACCCTCCAACAGGGGTTGTCAGACACCCTATATAGGAACAATCCTACTGGCATCATGTTGGTGCCCCTCGAGGTCAGAGGTCCCAGAAGAAGGAGCAGGCACCCATCTTTGCTGCTCTCCAGCCTCCTTGAGTGACATATCCAGGCAAGGGAGTGAATCATGAATCGGGCCTGAAGTGAACCCTCAGCAAACTGTGGTAGCCCTATAGAAGAGGGACCTGACTATTGAAAGAAAAACAAACAAGCAGAAAGTGACACAACAGCATCAACAAAACAACAAAAGGCCCCCACAAAAACCCCACTTAAGGGTCAGCAGCCTCAAAGACCAAATCTAGACAAACTCACAAAGATGAGAAAGAATCAATGAAAAAATGCTGAAAGCCCAAAAGGCCAGAGTGCCTCTTCCCCTCCAAACGATTGCAACATCTCTCCATCAAGGGCACAGAACTGTGTGGAGGATCAGAGGGATGACTTGACAGAAAGAGGCTTCAGAAGATGGGCAATAAAAAACTATGATCAGCTAAAGGAGTATGTTGTAACTCAATGCAAACAAGCTAAGAACATTGATAAAAATTTAGAGGAACTGCGAACTAGAATAATCATTGTAAAGAAGAACATAAATGACCTGATGGAGCTGGAAAAAAAAATGCAGCACTAGAACTTCATGAAGCGTAAACAAGTATCAACAGCCAAGTCGACCAAGCAGAAGAAAGCATATCAGAATCTGAAGACCACTTTACTGAAATAAGACATGCAGACAAGAATAGAGAAGAAAGAATGAAAAGGAATGAACAAAGCCTCCAAGAAATAAGAGACTTTACAAAAAGACTGAACCTACGATTGATTGGAGTACCAGAAGTAGATGGGGAGAATGGCAACAAGCTGCAAAACACACTTCAGGATATTATCCAGGAGAACTTCCCCAAATTAGCAAGACAGGCAAACATGCAGTTCAGGAAATACAGGGAACACCATTAAGATACTCCATGAGAAGATCAACCCCAAGACACATAATCATCAGATTCTCCAAGGTTGAAATGAAGGAAAAACTGTTAAGGGCAGCCAGAGAGAAAGGCCAGATCACCTATGAAGGGAAGCCCATCAAACTAACAGCAGACCTCTCAGTCAAAACTCTACAAGCCAGAAGAGATTGAGGGCCAGTATTCAACACTCTTAAAGAAAAGAATTTCCAACCCAGAATTTCGTATCCAGACAAACTTAGCTTCATAGTGAAGGAGAAATAAAATCCTTCCCAGACAAGCAAATGCTGAGGGATTTCGTTATCACTAGGCCTGCCTTGAAAGAGCTTCTGAAAGAAGCACTAAATACGGAAAGGAATAACTGGTACCAGCCACTGCAAAAACACACCAAAGTATAAAGACCAATGACATTTTGAAGAAACTGCATCAACTAGTGTGCAAAATAACCAAATAGCAGCATGATGCCAGGATCAAATTCACACATAACAATACTAACCTTAAATGTAAAGGGGCTAAATGCCCCAGTGAAAAGACACAGATTGGTAAATTGGATGAGGAATAAGACCCATCAGTGTGCTGTATTCAGGAGACCCATCTTACATGAAAAGACACACATAGGCTCAAAATAAAGGGATGGAGGAAAATTTACCAAGCAAATGGAAAGAAAAAAAAAAAAAAAAAAGCAGGGGTTGCAGTCCTAGTCTCTGACAAAACAGACTTTAAACCAGCAAAGATCAAAAAAAGACAAAGGGCATTACATAATGGTACAGGGAACAATTCAACAAAAGAAAAGCTAACTATTCTAAATATATATACACCCAATAAAGGAGCACCCAGATTTATAAAACAAGTTCCTAAAGACCTACAAAGACACTTAGACTCCCAAACAATAATTGTGGGAGACTTTAAAACCAACTGTCAATATTAGACATATCAACGAGACAGAAAATTAACAAGGATATTCAGGACTTGAACTCAGCAGTGGATCAAGTGGACCTAGTACATGTCTACAGAAATCTCTACCCCAAATAAACAGAATATACATTCTTCTCAGTGCCATGTGGCACTTATTCTAAAATCGACCACATAATTGGTAGTAAAACACTCCTCAGCAAATGCAAAATAACGGAAATCATAACAGTCTCTGAGACCACAGTGCAATCAAATTAGAAATCAGGATTAAGAAACTCACTCAAAACCACACAATTTCATGGAAATTGAACAATCTGCTCCTGAATGACTTCTGGGTAAATAATGAAATTAAGGCAGAAATCAAGAACTTCTTTGAAACCAATGAGAACAAAGAGACAATGTACCTGAATCTCAGGGACACAGCTAAAGCAGTGTTAAGAGGGAAACTTATAGCACTCAATGCCCACATCAGAAAGCTGTAAAGATCTCAAATCGACACCCAGCATCACAATTAAAAGAGCTAGAGAGGCAAGAGCAAACTAATCCAAAACTAGCAGAAGACAAGAAATAACTAAGATCAGAGAAGAATTGAAGGAGATAGAGATAAAAAAAAAAATCCTCCAAAAAAATCAACAAATCCAGGAACTGGTTTTTTGAAAAAAAATTAACAAAATAGATAGACCACAAGCTAGACTAATAAAGAAGAAAAGACAGAAGAATCAAATCGACAAAATAAAAAATGACATACGGGATACCACCACTGACCCCACAGAAATACAAACTACCATCAGAGAGTAGTATAAGCACCTGTACACAAATAAACTGGAAAACCTAGCAGAAATGGATGAATTCCTGGATGTATACATTCTACCAAGACTAAACTAGGAAGAAGTTGAGTCCCTGAATAGACCAATACAAAGCTCTGAAATTGAGGCGGTAATTAATAGACTACCAAACAAAAAAACCCTAGGACTAGACAGATTCACAGCTGAATTCTGCCAGGAATACAAAGAGGAGCTGGTACCATTCCTTCTGAAACTATTCCAAACAATTGAATAAGAGAGACTCCTCCCTAACTCATTTTATGAAGCCAGCATCATCCTGATACCAAAACCAGGAAGAGACACAACAAAAAAGGAAAACTTCAGGCCAATATCCCTGAGGAACATCAATGAGAAAATCATCAATAAAATACTGGCAAACCAAATCCAGCAGCACATCAAAAAGCTTATCCACCACGATCAAGTTGGCTTCATCCCTGAGATGCAAGACTTGTTCAACATACTTAAATCAATAAATGTAATCCATCACATGAGCAGAACCAAAAACAAACACCACATAATTATCTCAATAGATGCAGAAAAGGCCTTTCATAAAATTCAACATCCCTTCATGTTAAAAACTCTCGATAAACTAGGTATTGATGGAACATATCTCAAAATAATAAGAGCTGTTTATGACAAACCCACAGCCAATATCATATTGAATGGGAAGCCAGAAGGATTCTCTTTGAAAGCTGGTACAAGAAAAGGATGCCCTCTCTCATCACTCCTAATGAACATAGTATTGGAAGTTCTGGCCAGGGAAATCAGGCAAGAGAAAGAAATACAGGGTATTCAAATAGGAAGAGAGAAAGTCAAGTTGTCTCTGTTTGCAGATAAGATGAATTTATATTTAGAAAACCCCATCATCTCAGCCCAAAAACTTCTTGAACTAACAAGCAACTTCAGAAAAGTCTCAGGATACAAAATCAATGCGCAAAAATCACAAGCACTCCTTTACACCAATAATAGGTAAGCAGAGAGCCAAATCATGAGTGAACTCCCATTTGCAATCACTACAAAGAGAATAAAATACCTAGGAATACAGCTAACAAGGGATGCAAAGACCTCTTCAAGGAGAACTACAAACCACTACTCAAGGAAATAAGAGAGGACACAAACAAACAAACAAAAATTCTATCCTCATGGATAGGAAGAATCAAGATCATGAAAACGACCATATTGCCCAAAGTAATTTATAGATTCAATGCTATTCTCATCAAACTACCATTGACATTCTTCAAAGAATTTAAAAAAAAAACCTACTTTAAATTTCATATGGAACCAAAGAAGACCCGGTATAGCCAAGAGAATGCTAAGCAAAAAGAACAAAGCTGGAGGCATCATGGTACCTGACTTCAAACTACACTACAAGGCTACAGTAAGCAAAACAGCATGGTACTGGCACCAAAACAGACATATTACCCAATGGAGCAGAACAGAGACCTCAGAAATAACACCACACATCCACAACCATCTGATCTTTGACAAACCTGGCAAAAACAAGCAATGGGGAAAGGATCTCCTATTCAGTAAATGGTGCTAGGAAAACTGGCTAGCCATATGCAGAAAATTGAAACTGGACCCTTTCCTTACACCTTATACAAAAATTAACTCAAGATGGATTAAAGACTTAAACATAATATGCAAAACCATAAAAACCCTTGAAGAAAACCTAGGCAATACCATTCAGGACATAGGCATGGGCAAAGACTTCATGACAAAAATGCCAAAAGCAATTGCAACAAAAGCCAAAATTGACAGATGGAATCTAATTAAACTAAAGCGCTTCTGCACAGCAAAAGAAACTGTCATCAGAGTGAACAGGCAACCTACAGAATGGGAGAAAATTTCTGCAAGCTACCCATCTGACAAAGGTCTAACATCCAGAATTTACAAGGAACTTAAACAGATTTACAAGAAAAAGACAAACAACCCCATTGAAAAGTAGTCAAAGTATATGAACAGGCACGTCTCAAGAAAAGATATTTATGCGGCCAACAAACCTATGGAAAAAAAGCTCAACATCACTGATCACTAGAGAAATGCAAATCAAAACCACAATGAGATGCCATCTCATGCCAGTCAGAATGGCAATTATTAAAAAGTCCGGAAACAACAGGTGCTGGCAGGGATGTGGAGAAATAGGAACACTTTTACAATGTTGGTGGGAATGTAGTTCAACCATTGTGGAAGACAGTATGGCGATTCCTCAAGGATCTAGAACCAGAAATACCATTTGACCCAGCAATCCCATTACTGGGTATACACCCAAAGGAATATAGATCATTCTACTATAAAGACACATGCACACGTATATTTACTGCAGCACTATTTACAATAGCAAAGACATGGAATCAACCCAAATGCCCATCAACGACAGACTGGATAAAGAATGTGTGGTATATATACACCATAGAATACTATACAGCCATAAAAAGGAATGAGATGATGTCCTTTGCAGGGAAATAGATGAAGCTGGAAGCCATCATCCTCAGCGAACTAACACAGGAACAGAAAACCAAACATCACATGTTCTCACCCATAAGTGGGAGTTTAACATTGAGAACACATGGACACAGAGAGTGGAACAATACACACCAGGGTCTGTTGGGGGTTGGGGGATGAGGGGAGGGAACTTAGAGGACGGGTCAATAGGTGCAGCAAACCACCATGACACATGTATATCTATGTAACAAACCTGCACGTTCTGTACATGTATCCCATTTTTTTAGCTGAATTTTTTTGTTAAAAGGTGAAAAAATAGCCCAGAAAGAAGAGCAAATTTATTCCTGAAACACCAGGGTTTCAGTCTAGGTCCTGCTGCTCACAGCACAGAAAGCCAATCACTGACACAAAAAGTATTGCCAAGGAAGAAGGATTTAATTGGGTGCTGCAGCTGAGGAGATGGGAGCTCAACCTCAAATCCATCTGCCTGACCACTAAAACTCGGGGTTTACATAGCAGGGAAAAAAATATAATATGTGTAAGAAAATAGGAACGAGGGAGGAGCAAAGAAGCAATCAGGATGAATGAGGGGTCCAAAGTCTCATTGTCTGGCTGTGGTGATCTCATGAGTTTCAGTTCTTCGATACTTTTTTTTCTCCAGAGGCCTGAGGGTCCTTTGCTGAGGAAGGAACTAACATAAAACAAATGTAAGCTTCAAGCTTTAAGACGAGAAAGGTCAATTTCTATGTTTATCCAAAAGAACAGTCTATGGGACTATTGGGTCAGTTTCAATGTGACAAAAAGATGAGTTATATGAGATTTATATGAAAAGCAGTGAGTCAGCCCAAAAGGCATAACATACAAATGATAAAACAGAGCACAGTAAATCATTAAATAATCAAGAAAACTTCTCTGAACTAAAAGACATGAATTCCAAAGTTGAAAGATTCTATTAATAACCCATTAAGTGGGGTAAGAGTTTACCCCAGAGCACTTCAGAGTGTAAATTCAGAACCATGGATTAAATAGAAGACTCTAACACTTTCAGAAAGATAAAATAGGTCACACTTAAGGAATGAGAAAGCAGATTGGCTTTAGACCACTTAAGAGCAGAGCTAGCAGCTAAAATACAATGAAGACATTACTTTTTAACTGAGGTTAAAAAGATCTGCCTTGTTTCCTTTTCCTACCCCAAATGACAGATCAATGGTAAGGAGAGATTGAAGACACTTTCATACATTCAAGAGTTTCACAAATTTAGCTGTCATGCATCCTTCATGAGAAACTTCTAAAGGAGTGCTCTATGAAAATGAGAAAATAACCAAGAAAAAGGGAGATATGGGATCCAGAAGATGAGATTTTCTTTGCCATTTTATTAAGGCAAATATAAAGGCAAAGAAAAGCTCCACGATGAAGATGATAGGAGGTACCAGGAATGCAACAATTCATTGGACAGAAAGAGCAAGAATGGAGAAGCTGAGAAGGCTCCAGGAAGATATTCTATAAGAAAATTAGAACCATAGAATTGTTTATGTAACTGGGAGACTTTGGGCATCTTTCATTGGTTAGTACATAGAAAATAAAGCTAACAACAAATAAGATGATTATTAACTACAGAGGAAAAAAAAAATGCTTTAAAAAGGGAAAGTAGGGCCGGGCGCCGTGACTTATGCCTGTACTCCCAGCACTTTGGGAGGCCGAGGAAGGTGGATCACAAAGTCAGGAGATCGAGACCATCCTGGCTAACATGGTGAAACCCCGTCTCTACTAAAAACACAAAAAATTAGCCAGGCGTAGTGGCGGGCGCCTGTAGTCCCGGCTACTCGCGAGGCTGAGGCAGGAGAATGACATGAACCCAGGAGGCGGAGCTTGCAGTGAGCCGAGATCGCGCCACTGCACTCCAGCCTGGGCGACACAGCGAGACTCCGTCTCAAAGAAAAAAAAAAAGAAAAAGGGGGGAAAGTAGTCAAAGTTTATACATAGCTTACCTGTGAACAGTGCTTGCATACATTTAATAATTTTTCCTGAATATTTCCAATCAAAATTATCCAATAATTACAGAGCGAAGATAGAGAATTGGGAAGTATGTATGTTTATCTCTGAAATGTAGTAAGTGAAAGAGTTCAATCCTTTTCTTCCATTGTAGAAAGTGGAAAAGATTAAGAAATAGAAATATATTCTTCTTGTTATCAACAATTGTTCTTATTATTTTTACTTATACCAGCGGAGGAAAAATACCAGAAGTAACAGCTGAAACAGCTGAAGGTTGCATCTGAGAAAATGCTAATGGATGGAAGGGTAGGGGCAATTGCTATTTTTCTTAATAAGACTTGTAGAACCACTTGACCCTTTTAAATATGTGCAAATGTAACTATCATAAAAATAAAATTTAAAGAAAACTTATGATTACACTAAAATGTGTTATTTTTTAACAATTAGAAGTTGATTCATTGACTTGCACAGCCAGGATAGTGTTTATAGAAATATTATAGTTTCCCTTAAAATATGTATTCATATTACACAACTTCTTATAGCTGGGCCATTAAAAGATTGTAACTTGGTGCTGTTCTTATCATTATTATTAAATTCAGGATTACATGAGTCCTTTCACCTAAAATTTTGTGATTACCCATTAACTACTTCGGTATGTGAAACAAGCTTTTTTTTCCCTCAAATACCTAATATAAAACTGAGAAAAAATCTAAATGCAGGGAGGAATATAAGGATGTCACTATCATCTGTGGTCTTCAATTATGAATATTTTTGTTTACTTAAATAACCATGTTGCTGAAATTACAAAATTAAAGAATTATAGAACCAATAGTGAAAAATTTGTTATCATGATGACGTAGGTCCTGGTATAACCTAGTTGCTTTCTTGTCATATATTAGAACTCAAATGTAACATAGGTAAAAATTTCTGGCTTGGATCAAATGTAGTATACATATGTAGACTGCTCAGGAGAAAAATAGGGACACTTACCCAGTGGTCTATGTGGTGATACTTAAAGAATTATTTGTGTATGGCTCTGGGTGTATGTGTGTTTAATTCTTAGAGGAACAAAAAGGACCAAAATGGCTTGGAAATTCTTTAAGTATATTGACTACATGATAATAAGCTTGGCCTCTTTTAAAAGGATGTTATTTACTATTGGTCTCCTAAATTAACTGATCTTTTAGAAGTGTTTCATTTATTGTTTCCATTTTATGGTAAAATAGTGGAAGCAGTAAGTCATCTCCTTAATCAGAAAAAAATGATTAGTAAAATTTAATGAGTTGCAACACTTAGGGAAAACCAAGAAGATATATACTAGAGAGGATGAAGAGAACAATAAGTAGAACAGACGAGGCTTTTATTTTACCTTTTCTACATCAATAACTTGTACAACATTATCTAATAGTTTTATATTTTTTTCTGTATTCTAAAATACCAGCAAGGAATATCAGCAAGAATCTGAAATAGCAGATTCTCTCTCCTACAAACCAGGTGTCAAAAAGTTCAGTGAAGTATTTCAAAATAATAAAGCAAGTAAGAAAAAAATAAAATAAATGGATAATGAGGTGAAAAGAAAATATGTTTTCAAATGAGCTTTCAAATCTAGAAAGGACAGTATGAGCTAGATCTTGAAATAAAGAGCAATGGGAGTGATTTAGAAAACCTGTACCTAAAGATTTTGCATACTTTATAGAAGTGAACAAAGTGCCAGTGAATCTCAAGTTCAGTAAATATTACCTGAAGTCAAATTATCTGTGAAGTAGGAAAATATGATTCCAAAGTCACTTATGGCTCATTTCTCTGTACTACCAATAAGCATGATTGACTTCTTCTCTATTGCATGCAACATCAGCACACCTTAAGATCATTTAAGAAGTTACAGGTGGCCCAAACTTATCCTAGCAGCTCTTTGGAATGATCAGAGTTTTGTGACGGAAAGCACTTAAAAAAATGTAATACAATCCTTAGTCTATCTATGCCAGCTAAACCATAAATAACATTAAAATAATTATATTGATTAAAGAGTAAAGCATCCAATTTTACAATTTTAAATAAAATAAAATATTCTTAAAACATAGGTGGCAAATACCAATATTAATTTACTTTTAGGTTTCCAACAATGAGACAATGTGACTAAGGTGAACGCAAGAGAAAATGCTGTAATAAAACATAACCAGCACTAACTCTTCTTAAATTTATAATTAATTTTTTGTGTTCAACGATAGATATTTATATAGACATATACATAGATGTATATACACACAGACGGTTGAATGAGTCAAAAATTTCCATTAAAATTGTGAAATAGAAATCCATCACCTCTCTCCCTAACAACCACATTTCCCACACCTCAGAGTTCACTTTCAACATTTGTAGATGTTTCTTTACCTACATATTATCAAATAACGTTGTAATATTGATGCTTTAAAAAAAGTTAAATGTCAATTTGTTGATTTTCCACAATGGGGAATGTGAATTTAGCATTATTTTCACTGTCTAACCCTCTCTACTGCATAAATTTCTACATACTTCAAAGAGAGTTTTAACTTTAGTTAGAGCAATATTCAAGGTTTACATTATTACTATATTTTTTTAAATTCTGGCTGGGCTGCATTTTACACTAGAATTATTTTTCTTTTCTTGAGCAACTCTCTGTATACTTTGTTGGTATTAACCATAGTGTTTTTTGTTGGTTTAGTCTTCTGTGTCCTAACTCTTCCTGAGTTGTTTGAAATTCATAAAAATTGTATCAAGTTCCTGAATGCAACTCTTCAGAGGCCTCTGATCTGCTCCAACTAGATTGGTTGTGATCCATGCCTTGGAAATTCCATGATCCTGAAATTTACCTTCAACTCCAACCTGGAGCAATCTCTTTCTCTCTTTTCTGAGTTGGAGCTTCTATTTCCTGCATCCTGTTTTTCTCTTTCTTGATTTACTCTCTCATTAGGGTGAAACAAGTTTTCCAGTAGTTTTGTAAGAAAGACAGCATGGGCGATAAATTACAGTCATGTACCACATAGCGATGTTTTGGTAAACAATGAACCACATATAGACAGTAGACTCATAAAATTATAATGGAGCTGGAAAGCAGGATCCTAGCCCAATGCATTACTCATGGTTTGTGCTGATGTTGGTGTAAACAAACCAGTTTACACCAACCGGCTGCCAGCTGTTTACAAGTATAGCACATACAATCATGTATAATGCATAATACTTAACAATGATAATAAATGATAATGTTACTGGTTTACGTATTTACTATACTATACTTGCTTATTATTATTCTAGAGTGTACTTCTTTTACTTACATGAAAAATAGTTAATTGTAATAAACCCTCAGGCAGGTTCTTGGGTAGCTATTCCAGAAGAAGACAATATTATCACAGGAATGACAGCTCCATGCATGCTTTTGCCCCTGATGACCTTCCAGTGGAAAAAAGATGTGCAGGTAGAAGACAGAAGATGTGCAGGTAGAAGACAGATTACTGATGATCCTGACCCATAGTAGGCCTAGGTTAATCTGTGTGTTTATGTCTTAGTTTTTAACAAAAATGTTTAAAAAATAAATAATAATAATAAGATGCTTTACCAATAGAAAGAAGCTTATAAAATAAGTATATTAAAAACATATTTTCATACAGCTATACAATGTGCTTGTGTTTCAAGCTAAGTGCTATTACAAAAGATTCAAAAAGTTAAAAAAAGTAAAAAGTTTATAAAGTAAAAATGTTAGAGTAAATTTATTTTAATTTATTTTTAAAGAAAGAAAAATGTTTTTATACAACTAGTGTAGCCTACGTGTAGAGTATTTATAAAGTCTATAGTAGTGTACAGTAATATCCTAGACCTTCTCATTCACTCACCACCCACTCTCTGACTCACCCAGAGCAACATCCGTTCCTATAAGCTCCATTCATGGTAAGTGTTCTATACAGGTGTGTTATCTATAATATTTTATATTGTATTTTCTATATTTAGATATGCAAATACTAATCATGATGTTACAATTACCTACAGTATTCAGTTCAGTAACATGCTGTACAGGTTTGTAGCCTAGGAGCAGTAGGCCATAGCTTCTAGCCTTGGTGTGTAGCAGGCAACATCATCTAGGTTTGTGTAAGTACACTCTATGGTGTTCATACAACAACGAAATTGCCTAAAGATGCATTTCTCAAAACGTGTCCCTGTCGTTAAATGATGAATGACTATACTTGAAAGATTTCAGGTTTGAAAATATCTTTAGTCTACCCTCACACTTGACTTATATAGCTCTGCTGGGTTTAGTAATTATTGATTCAAAATTATTTTTTCTCCACATCTTGAAGGCATTTCTGCATTGTCCTCTAGCTTTACTGTAACTTCCATAGATCACAAGCCTTTCTAATTATTGATCATGTTTATATTCTTTCTGGAAGCTTTTAGAATCCCTTTCCTTTGCCTTCAAGTCCTGAAATTGAATAATTATGTACCTTTGTGTTAGCTGATTTTTGGCTATTGTGCTGGGCATAATCTGGAAATTGATATTCTTCATTTCTGACAAATTTTCTTGAATTATCGTTTCCTACTTTCTAGTTTTTCTATTATCTCTTTCCAGATTTTCTGTCAGTTTGATGTTACATCTCCTAAAGTGGTTCTCTATTGTCTTATATTAACTTCTAAAAATTTTTTGTGTCTTAGATTCTTTTAAAAAATTTGTTTTGCTCTATCTCTGAGAATATTTTTATCTTTCAAGTTTTTCTCAAGTGTATATTTCTGCTGTTTTAATTTTTAAGAATAATTCATTCTCTGCTTGTTTGTTTGACACAGCATCCCATTATTTTTCCATGGATTCAACATATTTTTCTTAACTCTGAATTTAGTAATAACACTTATTTTAAAGTTCCCCTTAATCTTTATAAAATCTGCCTCCTCCAAGATGCTTGTTTATTTTTTTCTCTACCTGTTCGTATTATAAGTGGTAGATTAAAAGCTTTTTTAGAAGCGCATACACATAGTTTTTCTATTGCAGACTTCACAGTAGGAAGATCTAGCTGGACTCTTTTATTGGGAAATTCTGAATGTTATCATTTTTAGATCTTTTCTTGGTGTGGCCAAATTTCCCAGAAAAGAATGCTCCAGAGGGTAAAGTGATCTCCACTTTTATTACATAAACATTAACTCCTAACCCATAACCTATATTCAACTGTCACTGCCCCTCTCTAATCCAAAGACCATCCTAAAGGTTCTCAACCTATTGCTTGAGTCTGCTGAGACAGAACACTCAGACAAGTCAGGCAAAGAAGATTTTATTCACAGATAGGTAGCAAGGTTTATGGGTGTTTTTCTCTTTTTCCATTTAATTTTAAGGGAGAGGATTAAGAGCACAATGGGAAGATGTTCAGTTGTATATTGTGAGAAATTTGACTTGATTTCAACTTTTAAAGCATTATTCATATATACAAGGGCTCACTTGGAGTCTCACGTACATGGGAGCAGCACCAGGCTTTGCCATTGGCACAGCCGCATTAATACTCCTCTCTGACTTCTCATGGATTAACTTTGAGTTTGATCAATTCCTGCATTATTGCTATGGTTTTAAGCCCTCCCTTTTAGTATTGTTTTAAGGCCTCTATTTTGTCCTTCCTGTCTGCTCTTCTGATTATTTTGCGTTTTGTATTGAAGGTCCAGTTTTATAAACTTTCAGAATTATGTATGTGCGTTTTTAGTGAGCACGATCTTAAATGAAAAGTATTTGCACTATAAAAAAGCTAAAGGAACTCAGGAGACAGTCATAGATAAAAGTAAATAAGGAAGGAAAACTACTTAACCACTGAAGTCACTTTGTCCAATTTACTGGCATTTAGTGTTTTTTACTAAATAGATGTTAGGCCCAGTTTCAGGAAAGTGTAAGAATATTTCCCTTTTAGTTTAATATTCGTCACCTTATAGGCTTCAAAATAGTTTTGCTAAAGGGACTGGTGGGTTAAAACACAAAATATTCAGACTCTACTGGTAAGATGGTGAATTTAGTGTCAAAAGCTTTTAGAGAAGAGTACTTATTAAAAATCAGTGGCCTTTGGTTCTTTCATTTACTCCCAGGGAATCTAAACCAGAGGTTCTCAAAAGGACTTCTAGAAAGTTGGGGGAAAGGGAGAGCCCTATTGTCTTTGGTTTTCATAGTGACAGAGTAAAGTTACTGAAAATTAATATGGGGCCAAATATCTGGCAATGAACAAGAATAGTCTGGTCCACACCCTCCTGTCTACCATTATTTCCTTTACCTTAAGGCTGCTAGGAAAATTATCTCTTAAGGAGTAGGTTTAGCTTTAAGGCTACAAACCCACACTTTGTTAAAGGAAAAAAGTCCACAGTAATTTGATTTAATGAGATTCATTTATTTCTACAATCATGATTCAAACAATGGAGAAAAATCACTTGAACTTTGAAGTGAAAGCTAGGAATATAGGTTTACCCTAACTATCTAGTAATACAGGTATAACCTTGGGCTAGTTATTTACACTGTCCAACAAAAATGAAGATGATGCTGATGTCACTGTAAGAACATCTGAATACCAGAACAATGGTGAAGTACACTTGAAAATGTAATCTTATATTTCAGTGTATAATTTTATACTTAAATAACCATGTGCTGCCCAGCTGCACCGATGCTCAGCAGTCACTAAAGTTGGAAAACAAGGAATAAGCCCAGTCATAATACCAAAGATCGTGGGCTTTCCCACCTTGTAAGGATGCTTCTGATTTATAAGCATGAGGTTCATGCCTATGGAGCCAGTCAATAAATTAAGAATAAATGATGTATTTGCCTGATGTGTCCTACAAAGTCCTCATTTTAGCCCTTCTCTCATAGCCTGAGGGAAGAAGGGGCTTTTAAACTTTTCCATAACAATGGTCTTTTTCAGAGAGTTAATGAACTACAGATATATTTTGCAATAAAGACAAGACCAGTTGTTTTCAAAACAATTCTGTCCTCAATGAACAGGATGCTAGTTCCCCTACTGCAATTTCAAGGCATCTATTTTATTAAAGCATGCCAGGACTACCAAATTTCAGGCACCAAATCCTCAAATTGAACAAATGTGTATATCTGACAGTGATTTACACAAAAGATCACCATCCCGTAAGTCGGTGTCTTGGGTTCTTGTCCCAAATCTATCTTCATTAGTTTTGTTCTCTGGAGAAAGTAATTTGTTGGGTCTTAGTTTTCCAAAATGTATAATTAAAAGTCAAAAAAGTGTTCAATGTTTGGTATAATAATAATAACCGATGGTTAATAATATATAGATCAAGCTCTAAGTATCTACAGGCACCAGGCTAAATGGTCCTCTTGTTATATTATTTTATTTAGTTCTCTCAACCATGGCATAAGGTGAAAATTACTGTTTTTCACATAGTAAATGGCTGAGTAACTCAGAGCTGGTGTTCTTAATCACTAATCTAAACCATTCCAGGATGTTACTATTTGTTCTGAACAGGATAAATTTAATTTAATATATGAATATAAATTAGGAGTAAAAAGAATTCTACAAATACAAGTTATTATTTGAGGTACTAAGGCAGTGGCCTGATAAACAGAATCTACTGGTCCAACAAGATTAATGCATTTAATGTATCTAAGGGGGTTGTGAGGTAAAAATCAAATGTTATTTGTTAGTTATTTAATAGTAAAGACCTGAGACAGGAACAAATGAAGAGCACAGCTAGAGGACTGCCAATGAGTGAACAGAGGAGCCTTTCCTTCAGCTGTAGGATCAGTTCTTTCTGAGACCTACAAAACCACGTGATTTGCCTTTTCTCTTTGGGCACCTACAGGCATTTTATCTCACTTGTAATCCTAATTACTATTAATGTCCTCACCACACCAGTAAACATAGGCTTTCTGGACATTCACAGCCCTAGGAAAGTACTCTTGCCAAGAAGGCCAAGGATGGGGAAAGTGGACCCGGGAGAGGATGATGGCACTGTACGACCAGTCACCACCCACAAAACATTGCTGATGACTATGAATTCCTACACCAGGAGATTTTTCTTTGAGTTTCAGCTTAACTATAAATTAAAATATGCACATTTATGACTATAGACTAAATGTTTGTAGATGATTTCTTACACTGAGGCTTTGCTGAGCCTCCAGTTTTTGTAAAATGAACATAGAACTGAAGGACGAAAGTCCACATAATCCTCTAGGATTTTAGAGCCTGTCTTCTCCAGGTTTTTAAATTCATAACTGAGCAGCTATTATTTGCCATTAGATGTAAAAGACTCCCTAATCTTTCTTCTCTGAGAGCCTCACAGGCCACCTAAGCTCCATCTCCCATCACACTCTGTTAGCCAAGTCCTTGCTAAGCCCTGTGAGACATTGCCACAGGACAAACTCCAGTCTGCAATTCATCAGGTGAAGCTCTGTACATTGTAGCATGGTCCTGGGCCTCGTGCCAACATCTCACAGCAGTAATTCTTAATTATTTTTTGACTCATGGACTCATAGAAATTCTAAACCCTTTTCCATAGAAAAATGTGCACCTGTATATGTATTCACAATAAAATCTTCCATTTCAGGGAATTTGAGCATTTGCTAAAGCTAACCCATGGATCTAAATTTAAAAAATGAAACACAAAAACATGTCTTAGAAACTTTTCAGTCTCTACTGTCCTAGTGCTCAGCTTGGAGCCAAGAGCCCATTATGGGCATAAATATTTCCCGGAAAATAATAATTAAATATCTCTCACATTCCCTATTTCTCCAATACATACAGTTGATTTTCATTATTCACAATATTTACATTCCATAAAGTTGTTACAAATATTGAACCATTGCTTCTAGGGAAAATTTAGGGTTAGGTTCCTGAGAGCCTCTGGTCACAACAATTCTATTTACTGATCAATACATAACCTTGTCTTATATGTGTAATCTATTTAGATATGCCTCATTTAATATATATTGATGACTCATTAACATTGAACTCACAGCCAACAGCCCTATAATTCATGCCTGAATGAAGCTTATCTAACATATGCATTTTCTTCCTAAGATACGTTACAACCTTCATGTATTTTGGAACTAGATAGCACATCAGCCCTAAGCCTGGGGGTAATTTTAAACAGTGAAATCAACAACAAAAAGCATAAAAAGGTGTGAAATGTTGCACGAAACAGACCATGAAAAAGACACTTGTTTACAGTATGAAACAAGTAGGCAGAGTATTGCCTTGTTCAACCTCAACTGGAAACGTGCGTAGGACACCTCAAATGTTTTGCTGTACATGTCCACGATAACTATGAAAGCACAAGTATTGATTCCGGCGTCACTATGGACTGAATGTTTATGCCTCTCCCCTAAATTCATATGTTAAAATCCTAACCCCAACTGTGATGGTATTAGGAGGTGGAGCCTTTGGGAAGTGATTAGGTCATGAGGGTGGAACCCTCATGAATGGGATTAGGGACCTTATAAAAGAGATCCTAGAGAGCTCCCTTACCCCCTTCCACAATGGGAGGTCACAATAAGAAGACGGTTGCCTATTGGGAAATAAAAATAAAATCCTAAGCCCTTCTAATCAACTGGACACTCTCTCGGCCAAGAGAACCCCAGAGACACCCTAAAAACTGAATTTTCAGCCATAATGGTATGAGAGGTCAGACGCACTTCAGTGGATCCCTTCTTTATTAACCTTTTTTTTTTTTTTTTTTTTTGAGACGGAGTCTTACTCTGTTGCCCAGGCTGGAGTGCAGTGGTGCAATCTCAACTCACTGCAACCTCCACCTCCCAGGTTCAAGTGATTCTCCTGCCTCAGCCTCCCAAGTAGATGGGACTACAGGTGCCCACCACCACGCCTGGCTAATTTTTTTTTTTGTATTTTGGTAGAGATGGGGTTTCACTATGTTGGCCAGGCTGGTCTTGAACTCCTGACCTCGTGATCCACCCACCTCAGCCTCCCAAAGTGCTGGGATTACATAGATGAGCCACCACACCCAGCCTCTTTGTTAACCTTTAACCAGAAATTTCTCCTAAGGAAGAGACAGAAACCAACTCCAGAAAACAAAAAGATGACTCATTCTTTTATCACCTTTAGCCAATAATGTGAGGTCTTGACCAAACTCTCCCATCCTCTTTGCAGTTTTGACACGATAGCTCACCAATTTCACATCACATCCCTTCCTAAAAACTGACCACCAGGGTTTCCTCTTTCGGCTTTGGAGCCCCCTCCCTCTGTCTCTGTACGGGGTAGCTTCTTCCTTCTGTCTTCTCCCTTCCTTCTTGTCTATTAAACGCTCCACTCCTTAAAACTAAAAAATAAAAAATAAATTTTAAAAACTGACCACCATCTCCAGACAGACATTGGCCAACTCACAGAGGATGCACAGTGAGGGTTTTTGTGTCCTCCACTTCACCTTTTACATCAAAGAGCCAAAAACTGCACCCTCAGATCACACTGATGCCACCATTTTTTGAACATGTAACCTTTGAAGCAGCATGAGGTGCCACTGCATGTACATATGTATTTTCTTTCTTAAACATTCATGACTCCTCCTGTAACTTCAGTATGTATATTTGGCCATCTCACTTACCACAAATTCCTATTCCCTTTACCCCTCCCTTGAAGTGCTTGCACTCCGGAGGCAACATTTCCCAGCCTGTGGGATGGCCAGCCAGCAGGCTACAACTCCTTATGAGATATAAAGCTCTCCTTTCCAAATTTATGAGCCTCATGATTCCTCAGCTGTTTACACTGTCAACCAGGAAGCAGGACCTCCCCAGTCACTGAATCTGCTGGCAAATTTCTTGGAATTTCCAACCCCCAGAACTGTGAAAAATAAGCTTCTGTTGTTTATAAGCTACCCAGTTATGATATTTTGTTAGAGAAGCCCAAAAAGACTAGGATAGGTTTACAAATAAATTTTGGCAAGTAGGAAATTCACATATACAGAAGCTGTGAATAATTGGGATAGATCATGTGCTCCCCTGTTAGTTTATTATTACTCATATTCTATGGGGCTCTAAATATTCCACCTCCTAATGTCAATGCCCTCATTTCCCATGTTTGGAACCCTTCAGTACACTAGGTTTTCAAATCTTGAGATTTTATTTTGGAAATAACCACCCAAGAGGACACCAAATTTGGCCCAGTTAACCCCTAACATAGTGAACCATATAACCCAGAGGTCTGCAAGCCTATTCTCTGCAATTCGTGATACTTGGCAACACCAAGCATATAATTCTTTGCAGTTCCATGCATAAGTCAGTCTTGTGAGTTAATTTCAACAGTACTAACATTTCTCTATTCTTTTATTGCAAAATGGAAATATAGAAATTCTTTAAAGAAATATGAAAAATAATGAAACTATGACTAAGTGGAAGGCTAAGATATAAGTATGTAAATACAGACCTTATTGTTCAGTTTTAACTCAATCACTTTATCTATTGATGGTGCGTTTTAATACCCCATATAATACTCGATATTGTTAATGGCCTATCATGACTGAGAGTAAAATAACTGGGGTTTCCAGAGGAGAAGTAAAATTTCTTCCTTAGAGTTTTTTTTAGTGTTGTGATTGTGACCCAAGTAACAATTTGCAGTAAATAGAAAGAAGCTTTAAAATATAATTATACTCTGTTTTCTTAAACGAAAATGACACATTTTTCATTCAAATATAGGCTAAACCTAGGCTTGTAATAGAAGCCAATGTTGTTTTATTTCTTTTGTGCCACCTAAAAGAATATCTTGTAAGATGTCTTACGACAGACCCTTTGTACTAAAACCCCGTTAGCAATTCATAGATGACAAAGGATCTGAGCCTTAGATATATGAAAACTCATCACTGTGGCATCTATAGAGGCAGTGTGGCAAAACAGAACTCAGAATCCTAGGTTACACATCACACATTAACAAAGTATCAATAGAACTTGACTCCAGTTCTACTGTTGACCTCAAGACCAAAAAAGCTAGAGAGCAAACACAGCCTACAGCTTTCAAGGAGAAACACTTGTGGCCTCTTTCTTAATCAACTTCACGGTGACTTAAAAATATTTATGTTATGTCAATTGATACAATGATTGGGATATATTCTATTTTCTTAAATATTCAAGGTAAGAGCCATCTAAATTTTCATTGATGTTTTCTTGGACAAAAAGACATTTAAAAGATATGAAAAGATAACTGATTTTAAAGGGCAAAAGATTGCAGTTAAATTTTTGAACTTTTATAATGAGTTCCTTCTTTTATAAGACTCAGTCATAGATTAAGTCTTATATTTCATATGTTGAAAGTAATGGCAAAAACTGCAATTACTTTGCACCAACCTAATACATAGGCTCTGCCTTCAGAGTATTTACAGTCCAGAACTGTGCTGTCTAATATAGACACTAGACACATATGGCTATTGAAATAGAAATTTAATAAGATTAAAAATGTATTTCCTCAGCTGAACTCATCACATTTCAAACACTCAGTAGGTCCATGTGAATAGTTATATTTGATAGTGCAGATTACCATCACCATGGAAATTTCTACTAAACTGTGATGATCTAGAGTAACGCTTATTCAAAGGCATTAAAATATAAGTGGTAAATTTGGAGTTCAGTCGAATAGTTTAATTTCTTAATTTTTAAGAAGTTAGGGTGGTTTATCATGGTTGTTCATCTGTAAGATGCAACAGTATTTTTCTCTACAGTGGTAGAAAAACTTACATGATTTCTAGAAAAATTTCCTTCCTCGCTTCCTTCCTTCCCTCCCTCCCTCCTTCCTTCCTTCCTTCCTTCCTTCCTTCCTTCCTTCCTTCTTTCCTTCCTTCCTTCTTTCCTTCCTTCCTTCCTTCTTTTCTTCCTTCCTTCCTTGTTTCCTTCCTGCCTGCCTCCCTCCCTCCATCCCTTCCTCTCTCCCTTCTTTCTTCCCTCCTTCCCTCCCTTCCTTTATTCTTTCCATTTTTTCCTCTTTTTCTTTTCCTTTGTTTTAGTTTCCAAAAAGGATCTGAATCATTCACATATGGGAAAGGGAGAGGGACATTGCAGATTCTCTATTGGGAGGAAATGAAACAATGAGAGGAACACTGGTTCTAAACACTTTCTGTGACTGATACGAGGTGTCCCTGGATTTCTCTACCTGTACTTGCTGCCTGTGAGTGAGTCCTTTCTTTCCTTCTAACCTAATAAAGTTGGCCTTTTTTATTTTTGTGAAAATATTTTCCAAATAAGGGATCACATTTTCTTAATGGCTGATTATTCCATTACTTTCTTTATAGTAGTAAAGTCTTCCTATACTTTTATAGAAACTAAAATTATACCAGCTTCCAGTTTGTGTCTCTGTCACATTTTAAACCTCCTTATGAATTACTTGAGTTGTTAGTTTAGCACCTAATTTATGTTCAGGAAAATGTTTGGCCACAATGCTTGTCACATGATAGGTTATTAGTAAATGCTGCAGATTGTTTAGAAACTGGAATGATTATTGACCCTTCTCAAAGCATGACGAAATTGCTCAACATTACAAGGTCCTTTTAAAAGCAAAAATGAAACCCAATTTGCTATTACTAAAATGTAGTCTTTGCAAATCACTTTAAAAATATCATGGCTATAATTCCTGACAAAATGAAACTGTCTTTAATAAGAAATAATATACAAGAACTACTTATTTTCTGCTGTGTAATTATTTCACAACTTTCTTCATATCCACTTTATTTCTACTCCTCCCCAATTTGTATCATTGAAATATTAAGGCTCCTTGTGTGTATTAGGATAGTTTCATTGTATTAAAACTCAACTCTTTGATCTAGCAAAGATTTCAAAGTCATACCAACTATCTATGCTTTGTATTAAATGTTTGCATTTGCTGCAGTTTTGTTCTTTCTAATGTCTGTAAATTTTTATCAGAGTTAAATTTGTTTTAACCTATAAGTTGTCAATGGCTCCTGAAATTAATTTCAGGAACAACGTTTCATATAATTTTCTCTGCAATTCAGACAACAATCTTAATTCACTAGTGCAATTGCCCATTTCTTCAGCACAGACACCTTCCAGATTCAGGAATTCAGTTATTCACAGTTCCAGACATTTGCTGTGCCAAGAAGAGCTGTCAGATATAACTTTATCACTTGCTCTTACTCTGACAACTACTACCATCTGTAGTGTATTTTGCCTTCCTAGTTAAAAGTAAATTTATAAAGCACTAAACAAAAGTATTAAAGAAGAATAGGCACCCAGTGGAATCTTTCAGGAGATAAGAGAAAATTTTCAAAATAAAGTCACTTTTGTATGCTGTTGGTGGGAGTGTAACTTGCTAGCTTTTTTCAAAGTGCAGTTTCACAATGCACAGTCAGAAGCCCATCTAAAGAAGTGTTTGGGGTTTTGTTCCTCTTCACTTTTTTTTTTTTAAGGGTACGTACTTGAATAGCCATTTAAGAAATACTGCACAGAATGTGTAAATTGAGGATTTTTCTACTTGATGGGACTTATAGATGCTAATTCCAGGTCTAAAATGTGTCATCTCAATCTTACCTTTCTTGTGTCCCCAGGATATTTAACTCTGCTACAGTGGAGGACAAGTCCATATTAAAAAACTTATCCTTCTCAAAACTATTTTGTTTAACTGTTGATCATGGAAGAGTAAATGGAGAACCACAAGTTCATTTGTCAGAGTGCACAAATATCTGTTGACTATAATTTAGTTAGCATTTTTTTGCATAATCTGGATCATTGTTTTCTACCCTTTGAACCTGGAGACAGAAGTTGTAGAGATTTAATCTGCTGTACCTGAGAAGATTAGCAGTATTATAGGTCAATGTTCTTGACTTGATTTTGCAGATTTTCAGGCTGTTCTGATTCAGTTCTGGAAACAGTCCTTCACAATGATCAAAACCTGAATAAGGCATTCAGGAAAGATGTCCTGCACATAGATCTATTCGAGGACCACTTATAATGGCTCTGGTGATTACTCATTTATTCATCTTTGTAATTTTTACCAGTATAGTACTTCGTGCTCAGTATTATGGTTTCAGCTATAACATTCTTTTTCAAAGAAACACTATTTTTTATATCTCAAATGACAGGTAGATAAGGGTATTAAAATATTTGTCCAAAGTACCAAAATGGACTTTTCAAATCAATCTTTTACATGTAAATTAAGTAGACTTTAGGCATATCTATTCCACTGTAGATTTCAAACTTACAGCAAAATCTAAGAGTAATGAAATGATTGTTTGAAAGTTCTCAGTCTTTGGATGTTAACTGGCACTGCTTGGCAAAGCTACATGAACTTGACATAGAACGCTAATCATCACTGCTCTTAAGAGCCTGGACTTAGCATCTTGCTAATGATTTGATGATTTCCGTAAGTCCTGGTTCTAGACCAGCACCTCCTCACTCACTCTTTAAGTTTTTCTTAATTGCTCAGTACATTTTTAAGATGAGTTGAATATGAATCATCCCAGCATAAAGACAAATATTCTTTTATACCCAGATGTTACTTTTTATCATTTTATTTACTGTGATGTTAATTTAGTTCTTCAGAAAGAGGGAAGTGGGCCTGGACATAATATTTAATGAGCTGTGTTTCTAATTATAGTTATGAGTTATTAATATGAAATTAATTTTATTGCTTTTGATAAACAATCCCCAAAATAACTGCTTTATAAACAGTAATCCTTCCTCTCTTAGTCAGAAATAATGATTTATGTTTTCCCATGAGTTTGTCTAATAGAGTACTGTTTCTATTAGAAAAAGTCTAGTTGAGTAGGTTTTTGGCTTTTTTGTTTTTTTTAATTGGCCATTGAGACCTTCCAACTACTTTGAAATTTTTGCATTTTGTGGGAATTAAATGATAAGAACACATGGACACATAGAGGGGAACAACAGACACCGGGAACTGTCAGAGGATAGAGAGTGGGAGGAGGGAGAGGATCGGATCAAGAAAAAATAACTAATGGTTACCAGATATAGTACCTGGGTGACAAAATAATCTGTGCAACAAACCCCCGTGGCATGAGTTTACCTGTAAAACAAACCTGCACATGTACCCCTGAACTTAAAATAAAAGTTAAACTTAAAAACATTGCATTTTTATGTATTTTATAATTTGATATAAGTAGCCTTATATTATTATTTGAACAAAACAAGGTATTTTTAAAAACATAATTTCTTCCTTTTCATTGTTTTCATTGTCATATGATTATATCATCTCCTCTTCCAGGGGAGAAGGGAAAGATAGCGAAACTCTTTATATCAAGGTTATAAGCATGAATATTACATTCAAATATTTCTATTAAAACTTTACTTGTGTAACTGCAGTGTTCTAGTACAGTAGCAAGAGTAATTATTTATACATCCTTGGATTTAAGACAGTATGTTAAAAATTATACAGCAAGAATGTTGCAAGGGCTATTAGTTCCAACTTATGTAGGAAATTGTAAATAGCATAACCCTAGAAAAAATTATGACATATTTTATTACAAATCAATTTCCATGTGCCAATATGTGCAGTAGAAACTACATGTTGGGAATATAAGGAGTCTAGAGAAGGGAAGATGCATCGTCTTGGATCTGTTGCAGCTACTTAAATAATTGCCCTCATGTGAGTGTTTGGGTTATACATTGGCATAAAACCAATAATTGAAATACTTCCAACTTTCTTCAATGTAGAGTCATTGACCCAGGGAGCTGTATGCTTACTGATGTCAATATCAACACAAGCTCATTGTGTATATAAAGTAGAAAAGAGGTTCTGCATACGTGTGTGCCTATGAGCTTTTATGCATATGTAATGTCTGGCTTTTGGAGAAGCAGATTGCTAACACAGGAAAAGCACAGGACAAGGACTAAATTTTCACGTGTTCTAGTTTTGAGTCCCATTAAGTGGATATGTGCCCCTGAGTAAATGATTCAAAAATTCTTTCTGACCCCTAATTTCCCTCCCTATCAAAGAAGTTAATAGTACCTGCCTTATCCACTTTAGGGGAGTATAAAATGATGCATGGAAGGAGTTATACAAAAGATAATTTTTAAATAATTTCTCTTCATTTCGGAATTAAAAATGGGAAAATATTCAACAAAACCTTGTAAGTTACTCAGCCATCATTATTTCACATTTAAGAGGAAAGACTCAGAGAAGATAAATGACTTGACCAAGGTGATAATATTCAGTTATAGATCTTATGGTTTTCTGATCCAGAAGTGTTTCAGAATTGTAATTTTTATATTTATTCCAGTTGTGTGGGTCTTTTTCTTTGGCAAAATACCTAATTATTTTTCCATAGTACTTACAAAGATCTATTATACTAGAAGGAATAGAAATACATTAAATCCCTGTTTATGTAATTCAACATTTTATTCTTGTGTTGAATATTTCATAAAGGCTTCTGACAAGAAAAAGAAATATCTGATTTGTTTCAGCTAATGATTAAATGGTAAAAAGTAGATAGAGTACCTCAAAGAAGGAAGGGGGCCAGTTACAGTGGCTCATGCCTGTAATCCCAACACTTTGGGAGGCTAAGATGGGAGGATTGCTTGAGCTCAGGAGTTTGAGACCAACCTGGCCAACACTGCAAAACTCCTTCTCTACTAAAAATACAAAAATTAGCCAGGTGTCTTGGTGCATGCCTGTAGAACCAGCTACTGGGGTGCTGAGGTGGGAAGATTGCTTGAGCCGTGGAGGTGAAGGTTGCAGTGAGCCAAGATGGTGCACTGCAGAAAAGGAAGGAAAGAAAGAAGGAGGGAAGGAAGGAAGGAAGGAGCAAGAAGAAGGGAGGGAGGGAGGGAGGAAGGAAAGAAGGAAGGAAGGAAGGAAGGAGGGAGGGAGGGAGGAAGGAAGGAGAGGAAGGAAGGAGAAGAAGGGAGGGAGGGAGGAAGGAAGGAAGGAAGGGGAGGAAGGAAGGAAGGGGAGGGAGGGAGGGAGGAAGGAAGGAAGGGGAGGAAGGAAGGAAAGAAAGAAGAAGGAATGAAGGAAAGAAGGAAGGAAGGAAGGGGAGGATGGAAGGAAGGAAGGGGAGGAAGGAAGGAAGGGGGAAGGAAGGAAGTAAAGAAGGAAGGAAGGAAGGGGAGGAAGGAAGGAAAGAAGAAAGGAAGGAAGGAAGAAGGAAGGGAGGGAGGAAGGAAATGAAAGGCAAAGAGCTTATATAATCTATAGGGAGGGAGGAAGGAAGGAAATGAAAGGCAAAGAGCTTATATAATCTATAGACTAAACATTGAAATCTGTTAGTGAAGATTTAATTTGTCATGCTCTTTCTTTTCAAATACTTTTGTATAAGGGAGCAGTACATAGAATTTGGTATTCTTCTGTCCTTCAGAAAAGTTTTTATTATCTATGTCAATCTTTCTTGTCAATAATGGGTAGGTGTAATTCTTGTTTAGGATTAAATGGAATTTTTAAGTCATTATCTGATTTAAATAATACTTTAATCCTTTTATTAAATAAATCAGAACAATCTACAATGCAGCCTAGCACACATTTATATATTCATTAGTTTGGCCAAAGTCATTTGAGCATCTACCATGTTACTTACTCTGTTACATGTTTTTATGGATGCAAATGTGAACCAGAGGGATAACCTGTCCTCAGGAAACTCATAGTTTAATGTAAGAGAATAAAAAGAACACAATTAGACATAACATAACGTAAAAAGCATGAAATACTTTTTTAAGAAAGCAATAAACCAGTTCTTGAAGCCTAGATAGGTTTTGTACCCGTAATTGGTAGCATAACAAAGGTACAGCAGTGGCAAAGCAAGTAGGTGTAAGTGGAAAATAGACTTTCTAAAAGCAACTGGTAGAAATAACTATTTTCCAATTGCTTCTTTGGACCCTGACCCTTCATACCCCCAACCCCCTACCCCTGCCCCATATACCATGTTTGAATTATGTTGCCCAGTTTCATTTTTTACCATGAGAGCAGTACAGAGAGTTAAATTGGCAATGTAAGAAATTCTGTATCATTTGGTTATGTCCTCAAAAAAGCACAGAAAATTCTCTTTGAATGTATTAAAATATGTATTTTTAAGACACAGCAGCCAATATTTGTAGAATATATTATTGCTTTGCTTTAAGGAAAAAAGCAATTTTACCTACCGTAACTAAAGCAAGGAAGCCTCCAAGGATAAAGTTAAATTCCTGTACCACTACAGAGTTTTAATCTTACCTTCTCTATCAACAGCTTGCATCTCACAGGAGGGGTTAAATCAGTGTGAAAAAGAAGAGGAGCTAGAAAGTGGCTATACACATTACTAGAGTTGAAAAAAGAAACATCTAAAATGTTACAACCCCATAAATATTTTTAACCTATTTTCTATCTTTATTATTTTGGATCTAGCGAGATTCTATAATGTCTTCAAAACTAGCTGTAGTACAGTCTATTTGTTTCTGGGAGACAAGGTGAGATTTCAGGACAATCAATGCTGATATTGCTCCAAGATGCCTAAAGAAAAGAGAAAACTGTATGGATTACTACAGCTCAAACTCTTTACACTTGGTGTTTGTGCTGGGAAATTTGGAAGACTAGATTTATGTCCAGTTTCATTTACCTTTTATATTTATAGAGACCAAAAATGGAAGAAAACATTTCTGCATTTTAAAAATATGAAAATAACTGTGGCAGTTTTTTACTTAAATACAATTTATTGTGTGGCTAGATTACAAAACTGAAGACTCTTAGAGAATGAGCACCCAAATGTGTGACTCTGCACATTCGCTATGGAGACACATATGTACTCAGTGGTCAGTATTTGCTGGAGCAATGAATAGAGGTGTCCACACCAGCCTCTACACAAAGCACAGATCCCCACTATAAATGTGAGACTGCCCTTTAACACATAATACACTCTGATATGGTTTGGCCCCGTGTACTCACCCAAATCTCATCTCACATTGTAATCCCCTAATCCCCATGTGTCGAGGGAGGGACGTGGTGGGAGATTTGGGTTGGATCATGCAGGTGGTTTTCCCTATGCTGTTCTCATGATAGTGAGTGAGTTCTCACGAGATGTAATGGTTTTACAAGTTTTGACAGTTCCTCCACACACTGTCTCTCACTGTCTGTCTCTCTCCCTCTCTCTCTCTCTGTGTGTGTGTGTGTGTGTGTGTGTGTATGTGTGTGTGTATGTGTGTGTTTCTCTCCCTTTCTCTCTCTCTTTTTCAACTGCTGCCATGTAAGACATGCCTGCTTCCCTTTTGGCCATGACTGTAAGTTTCCTGAGGCCTCTCCAGCCATGAGGAACTGTGAGTCAGTTAAACCTCTTTTCTTTATAAATTACCCAGTCTTGAGCAGTTCTTTATAACAGTACGAGAATAGACTAATACACACTCTTTGACACTCTGACCTAACTTGGTAAGGGAAGCACCAGAATTGGTTAATAATAGTGATGGTAGAGTCCATCATATTCAGTTACATGTATATACCAATAACTCTAAAGTGTTAGTTTATTTTAACTTCATGTTATATTAAGATGATACAAAGATTGAGAAGGACCTTTAACAAGCTATAATGAGTACATGGTGTGTTTTGATACTAGTCAGTGGCCCCTATTTACAAAGCTATATACACTCCTTAATAATAGAGATGCTACTATGTGACAGTTTTATGCCTAATACCTATCGAAGTACCTGAAACACAGATAACCCCTCAAATATTTTTAAATAAATACATAAATTAATGAACAAATAAATAAAATTAACATGTGTAATTATCAATAAAGTTATGAGAATAGTCCCTTCCGGTATCCAGTTCTCTTCCATATATTTCAGGTTTTGGAATCTGTATCTCATGCCTATTCTTGAAGACACTTTAATGTAACCAAGGCTCTGAGAAATTCTCAGGAAAGGTACCTCTTCAACTTTTCTATCACGTCTTAGTTTGTAGAAAGGGATCAATATTCTTTAGTTCTGGCAAGTGCATTTTCTCCTGCAGCCCAAGACAATTGAGAGGATAGGTGGGCTGAAGATAAGCGTGGAAGGCAGAATCCTTTTTTAGGGGAAATTATCTTTATTTGGAGTCTTTATTGAAAATTAATCCTCTCCCTCTCCCTCTCCCTCTCCCTCTCCCTCTCCCTCTCCCTCTCCCTCTCCCTCTCCCTCTCCCTCCCCCTCCCCCTCCCCCTCCCCCTCTCCCTCTCCCTCCACGGTCTCCCTCTGATGCCGAGCCAAAGCTGGACGGTACTGCTGCCATCTCGGCTCACTGCAACCTCCCTGCCTGATTCTCCTGCCTCAGCTTGCCGAGTGCCTGCGATTGCAGGCGCGCGCCGCCACGCCTGACTGGTTTTCGTTTTTTTTTGGTGGAGACGGGGTTTTGCTGTGTTGGCCGGGCTGGTCTCCAGCTCCTAACAACGAGTGATCCGCCAGCCTCGGCCTCCCGAGGTGCCGGGATTGCAGACGGAGTCTCGTTCACTCAGTGCTCAATGGTGCCCAGGCTGGAGTGCAGTGGCGTGATCTCGGCTCGCTACAACCTCCACCTCCCAGCCGCCTGCCTTGGCCCCCCAAAGTGCCGAGATTGCAGCCTCTGCCCAGCCGCCACCCCGTCTGGGAAGTGAGGAGAGTCTCTGCCTGGCCCCCCAACGTCTGGGATATGAGGAGCCTCTCTGCCTGGCTGCCCAGTCTGGAAAGTGAGGAGCGTCTCTGCCCGGCCGCCATCCCATCTAGGAAGCGAGGAGCGCCTCTTCCCCGCCGCCATCCCATCTAGGAAGTGAGGAGCGTCTCTGCCCGGCCGCCCATCGTCTGAGATGTGGGGAGCACCTCTGCCCCGCCGCCCTGTCTGGGATGTGAGGAGCGCCTCTGCTGGGCCGCAACCCTGTCTGGGAGGTGAGGAGCGTCTCTGCCCGGCCACCCCGTCTGAGAAGTGAGGAAACCCTCTGCCTGGCAACCGCCCCGTCTGAGAAGTGAGGAGCCCCTCCGTCCGGCAGCCACCCCGTCTGGGAAGTGAGGAGCGTCTCCGCCCGGCAGCCACCCCGTCCGGGAGGGAGGTGGGGGGGGTCAGCCCCCCGCCCGGCCAGCCGCCCCGTCCAGGAGGTGAGGGGCTCCTCTGCCCGGCCGCCCCTACTGGGAAGTGAGGAGCCCCTCTGCCCGGCCAGTCGCCCCATCCAGGAGGGAGGTGGGGGGGTCAGCCCCCCGCCCGGCCAGCAGCCCCGTCCGGGAGGGAGGTGGGGGGGTCAGCCCCCCGCCCGGCCGGCCGCCCCGTCCGGGAGGTGAGGGGTGCCTCTGCCCGGCCGCCCCTACTGGGAAGTGAGGACCCCTCTGCCCGGCCAGCCGCCCCGTCCGGGAGGGAGGTGGGGGGGTCAGCCCCCCGCCCGGCCAGCCGCCCAGTCCGGGAGGGAGGTGGGGGGTCAGCCCCCCGCCCGGCCAGCCGCCCCGTCCGGGAGGGAGGTGGGGGGATCAGCCCCCGCCTGGCCAGCCGCCCCGTCCGGGAGGTGAGGGGCGCCTCTGCCCGGCCGCCCCTACTGGGAAGTGAGGAGCCCCTCTGCCCGGCCAGCCGCCCTGTCCGGGAGGGAGGCGGGGGGGGGTCGGCCAGCTGCCCTGTCCGGGAGGGAGGTGTGGGGGTCAGCCCCCCGCCCGGCCGGCCGCCCCGTCCGGGAGGTGAGGGGCGCCTCTGCCCGGCCGCCCCTACTGGGAAGTGAGGACCCCTCTGCCCGGCCAGCCGCCCCGTCCGGGAGGGAGGTGGGGGGGTCAGCCCCCCGCCCGGCCAGCCGCCCCGTCTGGGAGGGAGGTGGGGGGGTCAGCCCCCCGCCCGGCCAGCCGCCCTATCCAGGAGGTGAGGGGCGCCTCTGCCCGGCCGCCCCTACTGGGAAGTGAGGAGCCCCTCTGCCCGGCCAGCCGCCCCGTCCGGGAGGGAGGTGGGGGGGTCAGCCCCCACCCGGCCAGCCGCCCAGTCCGGGAGGGAGGTGGGGGGTCAGCCCCCAGCCCGGCCAGCCGCCCCGTCTGGGAGGGAGGTGGGGGGATCAGCCCCCCGCCTGGCCAGCCGCCCCGTCCGGGAGGTGAGGGGCGCCTCTGCCCGGCCGCCCCTACTGGGAAGTGAGGACCCCTCTGCCCGGCCAGCCGCCCCGTCCGGGAGGGAGGTGGGGGGGTCAGCCCCCGCCCGGCCAGCCGCCCAGTCCGGGAGGGAGGTGGGGGGTCAGCCCCCCGCCCGGCCAGCCGCCCCGTCCGGGAGGGAGGTGGGGGGATCAGCCCCCGCCTGGCCAGCCGCCCCGTCCGGGAGGTGAGGGGCGCCTCTGCCCGGCCGCCCCTACTGGGAAGTGAGGAGCCCCTCTGCCCCGCCAGCCGCCCCGTCCGGGAGGGAGGCGGGGGGGGGGTGTCGGCCAGCCGCCCTGTCCGGGAGGGAGGTGGGGGGGTCAGCCCCCCGCCCGGCCGGCCGCCCCGTCCGGGAGGTGAGGGGCGCCTCTGCCCGGCCGCCCCTACTGGGAAGTGAGGACCCCTCTGCCCGGCCAGCCGCCCCGTCCAGGAGGGTGGTGGGGGGGTCAGCCCCCCGCCCGGCCAGCCGCCCCATCCGGGAGGTGAGGGGCGCTTCTGCCCCGCCGCCCCTACTGGGAAGTGAGGAGCCCCTCTGCCCGGCCACGACCCCGTCTGGGAGTTGTGCCCAGCGGCTCATTGGGGATGGGCCATGATGACAATGGCGGTTTTGTGGAATAGAAAGGCGGGAAGGGTGGGGAAAAAATTGAGAAATCGGATGGTTGCCGTGTCTGTGTGGATAGACGTAGACATGGGAGACTTTTCATTTTGTTCTGTACTAAGAAAAATTCTTCTGCCTTGGGATCCTGTTGATCTGTGACCTTATCCCCAACCCTGTGCTCTCTGAAACATGTGCTGTGTCCACTCAGGGTTAAATGGATTAAGGGCGGTGCAAGATGTGCTTTGTTAAACAGATGCTTGAAGGCAGCATGCTCGTTAAGAGTCATCACCACTCCCTAATCTTAAGTACCCAGAGACACAAACACTGCGGAAGGCCGCAGGGTCCTCTGCCTAGGAAAACCAGAGACCTTTGTTCACTTGTTTATCTGCTGACCTTCCCTCCACTATTGTCCTATGACCCTGCCAAATCCCCCTCTGCGAGAAACACCCAAGAATGATCAATAAAAAAAAAAAATAAAAATAAAAATAAAAATAAAATAAAAAATAAAAGAAAAAATGACCTTGATATGAAAAAATGTCAAACATAAATTGTAGAAATAAAAAACAAAATTGCCGAAATTAAGACTTCAACACCGAAAAAAAAAAAATTAATCTACTATTTTCCACATCATAAAACCTTCTACATGGTCAAGAAGTAAGATGGCTCACTCAAACAGTTGAGAAGAGTTTGATAAAGAACTATGAGCGAAGGCAGAGTTTTAGGAAACCATCGAGGGAAAGAGTGGTACTCAGGGCTAATGACAGTAGCATGGTTATATCTAGGACTGAAGGGGCAATCACACAAGGATGGTTGTAAGGGAACACAGCCTGACAGGAGCCATGACCCGTGGTAGAGGGACATGGGCAACATACAGCAGCCCAAAAGGGAGGGTCCCAGCAAAATGAACACTCATTCTCTCCTCCCACCTGGAGATCTTCCATCAGTATTAATAAGAAGCCAGAAGGTGAGGAAGTCTTTAATAAGTCCATGAGGTCATTCTCCCCAGATCACAGTGTGTCCGGAGTTGGTTCCTTCCGGTGGGTTCGTGTTCTCACTAACTTCAAAAATAGAGCCGCGGACCTTTGCTGTGAGTGTTACAACTCTTAAAGATGGCACAGACCCAAAGAGAGTTAGTGGTAGCAAGGTTTATTGTGAAGAGTGAAAGAACAAAGCTTCTACAGCATGGAAGGGGACCCAAGCAGGTTGGCGCTGCTGACTGGAGTGGCCAGCTTTTATTCCCTTATTTGTCCCCTCCCATGTCCTATTTCTGTCCTATCAGAATGCCCTTTTCTCAATCCTCCCGGTGATTGGTTACTTTTAGAATCCTGCTGATTGGTGCCGTTTTTACAGAGCGCTGATCGGTGCATTTTACAATCCTCTTATAAGACAGAAAAGTTCTCCAGTCTCCACTCCACCCAGGAAGTCCAACTGGCTTCACCTCTCAACGGGTCTGAACAAGCAAGAGTCAGCTATCTCACTAGACATTACTTCCCACCAATCTACCTCCACTCCCACCCTAGGCCCCATAGTAGTTCAGGGGGATCTTCTGAGAAATGTAGCTTTTTTACGACGTGGGTAATCCTATGATTTAAGAAAATATGACTAACTCAATTCTGACTTCCAGAACAGATCAATGAAGAAGTGATTACTCACAATCCAAAAGAATTTACACAGAACTCCTTTTACAAAGAGCTCCCTTAATGAAGTTATGAAACGGATTTAAACAATTTTAGGGAACACATGATTTACAGAGTTCCGATAAGTGGAAATCCGCTGCTCATACACTTAGCAAACCTTTGTGAATTATATATTCCAGTTTCTATGACTCTCTCAGCTATTTTAGATGACTTACTGCCAAAACAATGTAGTCTTCTTGCTTATTTTGCTTTTATTCCTAGTACTAGCTAAATGCCTTATTTATGGAAGTAAGTGTTTAACAGTCTTTCATCTGTTTTTCTTTCGTGTCAAATCATAATAGGGTGAAAAAGGAGGCTATCATGACTTCAGAAATAAGAGAATAGAACACTTGTCTTCTTTGACTTCTTTTTTTATTTTTTTAGACGGAGTCTCACTCTGGACGGAGTCTCACTCTGTCGCCCAGGCTGGAGTGCAGTGGCGCGATCTCGGCTCACTGCAACCTCCGCCTCCCGGGTTCAAGTGATTCTCCTGCCTCAGGCTTCGGAGTAGCTGGGATTATAGGCTCCCGCCACTACGCTCGGCTAATTTTTTGTATTTTTACTAGAGATGGGGTTTCACCAGGTTAGCCAGACTGATCTCAATCTCCTGACCTCGTGATCCGCCCACCTCGGCCACCCAAAGTGCTGGACTTTTCTTTGACTTCTTGATGGTTGAAGTATAGGCTAACTCCCATGGTTTTCTCTACAATATTACAAAAACAGTAACTAATTGAAAAATGAAGAGAATATGACTGATATAAAAGCTACTTCTAGTAGTTTAGTGATATTCCTTTATTAAGAAAAGTGTGATGGAATAAAGGCCCAAGATTAAAATGAAACAGAGGGATTCCCTAGGAATTGTAACCCCAGAGGTTTGTGGATTTTCAGTGGTAAAGTTATTTTTCCCTGACTCTTTGTCATGCCTCCCTTTATAGTAATTCCATTTTGCTCTTAATAACAAACATTAGTTTTGACTATTATGCAATTTCTCTTTTATTTCTTTCAGAAAATGGAAGATTTCTCCTTAAAAGACAAGGAGAGAGAAATATGCCAAAAATGAGAATAGGGAGTAGAGGCTAAAACCAAAATTAGTATTCAGAAATTTCAAATGATGCTGAAATTCCCAGAGGGAAGTATTTATTTATATAAGTATATTCGGTTAATTATTTATAGAAATAAAACTCAGGAAAATTCCACTCTCACTGTTTTTATCTGCGTACACTGTCCCTAGAGGGCTTGTATGTGGGTTTCCATTCTCAGAATCAGAAAGTCCCTGTTTGTTCTTGTCCTTGTTATCATTTTATTTTAAAATAAAATTTGTGAGAGTAGTGATCACACTAATTTTTCTCTGTGTTTAGAAGGCCCGCTATTTTAAAGACTGATTATTCATATTTTTAAAAATCACATTTTTTTCATATATATATGAAAGACATAAATTTGGAATGCTTTAATAAAGTTCAAAAGTCAGGATATGTGCTCATTAGGCTGACATCATCAGCTGAAATGACGCCATTCACATCCAAGACTTAATGCACTTGCTGTCGATGTTTGATGTATGCCAGGCACAACCTTATTCTCCACAAAAAGCCAAGGAAAGACCCAAGTAATAACAAACTCAGAGAATGGGAAGCAAGAAAAGGAGAGCATGAAGGTAATCATTTATTTAAAACATATGAAACTTGGAATTTTCTTTTTGCAATAAAAGAGGAGCGAGGCGGTGTTAAAATGTAGCAGGTTTTTGATGGTAAAAGCATTCTAAAAATATCAAGTGTTTTATGACAATATTTCCCAGAAAATTATAGCATTCCCCAGGCAAGAAAGGCACTTCCTGCATGAGTAGTTTCCACTTTTGTACACTCCATTTCTTTTTTCTGTGATTTAAAAAATTTCCATCCGAAAAGTTATAATTTTATAATGGCCACTCAAGTGGAAAGTATTAAGAGGAATCATCTAATGCTAATAAAAATAAGAGTCAAGGGTACAGATCACTCCCACTCACTCTCATATTTTAATGCAATGGCCTTTAGGGATCACTCTGAAAATTTATCATGAAAGAGCATAATGGTAGCCATTACCTATTCAAAAGCAAATGTGAAAACATGGTGGTCTAAAATACTTTATTAAAAAGATTTAGGCTTGTAACAGAGACACACAGCCTTATTGTGCCCTTTGTATAACCAATAATCTCCAGTTCAATCCACTGAAGCAATATTTTACTTAAAAGATTAGGTTTGTATCAACACTCCCTTTATAATACCTTAATAATACCAATAATCCCTAGTTCCATCAATTGGCTTAAAGAATTTTCACTTTAGGAAAAATAAAAAAACAATTATTGTTTTTATTGTTATCAAATAGGAAGGCCATTGCCATCCTTATTACGTACATCTTTCTAGTCTGATGTAAATTGCATGCAAAACCCAAACATGAGCAAGATTGTGATTCAAAATCTTTAAGTGTGTTGAACAGGGTCCCACACTGACAGTGTTCATTTTCATATTTTCTGGAACAATTCAAAGATTACTCAATTCTAAGAGAAAATGATAGGGAAAGCAAGCCAGAATTCTGGGCCGAAAATTGCTTTCATTCTTCAAAACATGGCCTTCTATGTGTTGCAACTGAGTGCCTGGAGACGTCAAAAGGGAAAGAGAAAGATGCTTACCAAAGTATGAAACCACTTTGGAGAGAATGACATACAGATAGGCTGTGAAGGTGTTATCCTCATAACAGAGGACACCCTTGAAAGAATTATTTATAGCTGTATTGTTCAAAGCTTTGCCAATCTTAATGTCAGCTGTGGTTTTTTCTTCTGAAACTCTACCAAAACATAGTACTAATCTCTAAAACGATATGTAGTTAGATGGATTTGTGACTATACTCTAAAATGGTATGTTGAAGCACTTATAGTCTCTGCTCCAAATACAAAAGGATATGAGAACATCAGAAATATGATGGAAATTGCCATTGAAATGAGTTAAGGCCTACCCTCTGGTGACTTAGAGCTTTTGTGAACAAGAATATTTCAGTTGTAGAATTGGCACAGAAAGTAAGCAGTAATGGGTAACCTTTGGCAAGGAAAGGGAAACAATGATCTGGGGCCAGTGCCAAAAGAGAGAAGGACTGGGACTCAAATGAGAATAACTGAAAAGAAAATTCCTAGGCTTAGCACATGCATTAAAATTCTAGGAAATGCTAAGAGACTAAAAAAAGAAGTAAGGGTATCTCAAACCTCACTACACTGCATGAAAAAATGAACAAGCCATTGGTGAGTTTTTCCAAGAATTTTGAGTCTATATGTAGATGATGCTATTAATTTTTTATAATTTAGGTAGTATTTCCCCCACCACCTTTTTTGGTTTTTGTTTGTTTTTTAGAGACAGGGCTTTGCTCTGTCACCCAGGCTGGAGTGCAGTAGTTAGAACTAGAGGCATGCACCACCACACCCAGATAATTCTGTTTTATTATTCTTTGTAGAAATAGGGTGTATTAGTCCATTCTTACATTGCTATAAAAAATACTTGAGACTGAATAATTTATAAAGAAAAGAGGTTAAATTGGCTCATGGTTCTACAGGCTGTTCAGAAAGCATGGCAGCATCTGTTCAGCTTCTAGGGAGGCCTCAGAAAACTTACAATCATGACAGGAAGGTGAAAGGGGAACCAGTGCTTCACACCATAGCTGGAGCAGGTGAAAGAGAGGGCGAAAAGAGGTGCTACAGCCTTGTAAACAATCAGATCTTGTGAGAACTCTATTATGAGAACAACACTGGGAGGATGGCACTAAACCATTAGAAACTGCCCCCATGATGCAATCACCTTCCACTAGGCCCCACCTGCAACATTCAACATGCGATTTGGGTGGAGACAAATCCAAACCATATCACAGGGTCTCCCTACGTGGCCCCAGCTGCTCTTAACTCCTGGTATCAAATGATCTTATCTCCTTGGCCTTCCAAAGCACTGGGATTACAGGTGTGAGCCATGATGTCTAGCCAAATTTCCATTTAATTAATATTTTAGTTGTGACTAGTAGTAGTTATTCCCAAAGGTACTATGAATGGGGAGGTAGAGGAAATATGCTATCTAGCAATATTCCATAAAATTAATTATCTGGCTGAATTTAGGAAAAAGTGTAAAGATGGGTACATTATATATTGTATATATATTTAAATCCAAGGTTGATAGTTACTGCGATCAGTGCTTTCATATTCATCATCCTTATAGACCAAGTCACGAAGAATGTAAGTCATTTAACTGATATTACAAACATTCTAAGTGACCCCAATTAAAATCACACTATTATATTCAGATTCAAGCCCCAGATCCCTCATGCAATTTATCATGAATTATATAGTCCAAGGTGTGGGAAGGAATTTGCATACATCACTATGGAAAAGCTATTAATGATAGTTTGGTTAGGTTTAAAACCTATCTTGTTGGTCTCAAAAAAGATAAAATATGAATTCTCTTTATAATAAATCTGAATTCTAGAAAGAGGGTCCAAAACTATGACACACATACATGAAAACATTTAGAGTGGGATTTTAAATACATGATTTGTTAAGCTGGTACTCACCAGGAAGCAGTATGGATACTGTAAAGACATGACAGTCTGTTCAACAAGGCATCTGAGGAATTGTCCATGTAAGATAAGCTAGAACAATATATGAACTTACTGGATTTGTAGCCAGTTGAAAAAATCTTATGTAAAGAGGATTAAGACAACGTACAGGTTATTTTCTATTGGAACAGCAAGACTCACTATTTCTTCTTGTTTTATATTTCTATATAAGTACACAGATGATAACAAATAATCCAGAATTATCAAGTCAAGATCAAGGCCAAAACCAGCAAGGTAAAATTTAATAAATGTAATATTCTGCATTACTCTTCAAGTAAATCAGTTAAATAATTCACTTAGAAAAAGAAATAAGCATTTTAGTTACCTAAAACTCAGTATAAGCCAATATATGCAACTGGTTACCAAAAACATTCATAAACTCCTAATCTATACTAAAAGAGGAAAGAATGAACTTAGACCTGTGCACTCAATATTGGTCAGATCATATGTAGTGTATTTTGTTAATATATGTATTTTTTTATTTTTGTGAGTACATAGTAGGTATATACATTTATGGGTACATGAGATGTTTTGATACAGGTATGCAATGTGAAATAAGCACATCATGAAGAATGGTGTATCCATCCCCTCAAGCATTTATCCTTTATATTACAAACAATCCAATTATACTCTTATAGTTATTTTTAAACGTACAATTAAGTTATTATTGACTGTAGTCACTCTGTTGTGCCACCAAATAGTAAATATTATTCTTTCTTCCTATTTTTTTGTACCCATTAAACATCCACACCTCCCCACCTATACCCCTAGTACTCTTTTCATCCTCTGGTAACCATCCTTCTAGTCTCTATGTTAATCAGTTGTTTTGTTTTTTAGATCCCACAAGTAAGTAAAGACATGCAATGTTTGTCTTTCTGTGCCTGACTTCTTTCCCTTAACATAATAATCTCCAGCTCCATTCATGTTGCTGCAAATAGCTGGATCTCATTCTCTTTTAAGGATGAATATTTACTCTTTTAAGGATAAATATTTACTCTCTTAAAGATGACTATTTACTCTATTGTGTACATGTACCACATTTTCTTTATTCATTCATCTGTTAATGGATGTTTCAGTTGTTTCCAAATCTTAGCTATTGTAAACAGTGCTGCAACAAACATAAAGGTTCAGATATCTCTTCTACTGACTGATTTTCTTTCTTTTAGATATATACCCATCAGTGGGATTGCTGGATCATATGGTAGCTCAGTTTTTAGTTTTAGGTTTTTTTTTTGTTTGTTTTGTTTTTGTTTTTGAGACAGAGTTTTGCTCTTGTCACCCAGGCTGGAGTGCAATGGTGTGATTTTGGCTCACTGCAACCTCCACCTCCGGGTTCAAGTGATTCTCCTACCTCAGCCTGCTGAGTAGCTGAGATTACAGGCATGCGCCACCACGCCCAGCTAATTTTTGTATTTTTAGTAGAGACAGGGTTTCACCATGTTGGCCAGGATGGTCTCAATCTTTGACCTCGTGATCTGCCCGCCTCGGACTCCCAAAGTGCTGGGATTAATGGCGTAAGCCACTGCGCTGGGCCAGTTTTTAGTATTTTTGAGGAACCTCCAAACTGTTCTGCATAGTGGTTGTACTAGTTTACATTCCCACCAACAGTGTACAAGGGTTCCCTTTACTGCACATCCTTACCAGAATTTATTATTGCCTGTCTTTTGAATGTAATCCATTTTAACTAGGGTGAGATGATATCTCATTGTAGTTTTGATTTGCATTTCTCTGATGATAAATGATTGTTGGACACCTTTTCATATGCCTGTTTGCCATTTATATGTCTTATTTTGAGAAATGTCTATTCAAATATTTTGCTCATTTTTTAATTGGATTATTAGATTTTTTTCCTATAGAGATATTTGAGGTTCTTATATATTCTGGTTATTAATCCCTTCTCAGATGGGTAGTTCACAAATATTTTCTCCCATTCTGTGTGTTGTCTCTTCAATTTGTTGATTGTAACCTTTGTTGTGCAGAAGTTTTTTAACTTGATGTGATCCCATTTGTTCATTTTTGCCTTGGTTGCCTGTGCTTGTGGGGTGTTGCTCAAGAAATCTTTGTCCAGACCAATGTCCTGGATATTTTCTTCAATGTTTTCTTGTAGTAGTTTTATAGTTTGAGATATTAGATTTAAATCTTTAACCCATTTTATTTGATTTTTTAATATGGTGAGAGACAGGGGTCTAGTTTCATTCTGCATCTGGGTATCTAGTCTGGCACTATTTATTGAAGAGACTGTCATTTCCCCAATGTATGTTCTTGGCACTTTTGTCAAAAATGAGTTCACTGTAGGTGTGTGGATTTTTTTCTGCATTCTCTATCCTGTTCCATTGGTCTGTATGTCTGTTTTTACACCAGTACCATGCTGTTTGGATTATAATAGCTCTGTAGCATACTTTCAAGTCAGGTAATGTGATTCTTCCAGTTTTGTTATTTTTGCTTAGCTTCATTTTGGCTATTCTGTGTCATTTGTGGTTCTATGGAAATTTTAGGATTGTTTTCTCTAGTTCTGTGAAGAATCCCATTGGTATTTTGATAGGGATTGCATTGAAACTGTATATTTCTTTGGGTAGTATGGACATTTTAACAATATTTATTCTTTCAATCCAATAACATGAAATAATTTTCCATTTTTTTGTGTCTTCTTCAATTTCTTTCATCGGTGTTTTATAGTTTTCATTATAGAGATCTTCCACTTATTTTACTAATTCCTTGGTAAGGAATTATCACATTATAAATGAGATTACATTTTTAATTTCTTTTTCACATTATTCGCTGTTGACATATAGAAATGTTACTGATTTTTGTATGTTGATTTTGTATCCTGCCACTTTACTGAATTTGTTTATCAGTTCTAATAGCTATTTTGTGGACTGTTTAGGTTTTTCCTAATACAAGATTACGTCATCTTGTATTAGGATACAACAAGGATATTTGATCTCTTCCTTTGCAATTTGGATGCCCTTTATATCTTTCTCTTGTCTGACTTCTGTAGGTGGGACTTCTGGTATGATGTTGAATAACAGCGATGAAAGTGAGCATCCTTGTGATGTTCCAGATCTTAGAAGAAAGGCTTTCAGTTTTACCTCATTCAGTATAATACTAACTGTGGGTCTATCATATATGGCTTTTATTATGTTGAGATATGTTCCTTCTATACCAGTTCTTTAAGTTTTTTTAATCACAAAGCAATGTTGAATTTTTTCAAATGCTCTTTCAGCATCAATTTAAATGATGATATGGTTTTTATCCTTCATCCTGTTGATATGATGTATCACACTGATTGATTTGTGTATGTTGAACTATACTTGAATCCCAGGGATAAATCCTACCTGGTCATAATGAATGATCTTTCTAATGTATTGTTGAATTTGTTTTACCAGTATTTTGTTCATGATTTTTGTGTCAATATTTGTCAGGTATATTGACCTGCAGTTTTGTTTTGTTTGTTTTGTTTTTGATGTGTCTTTGTCTGGTGTTGGCATCAGGGTAATACTGGCCTTGTAGAATGAGTTTGGAAGTATTACCTCCTCCTCTATTTTCTGGAAAAGTTTGAGTGAGATTGTTATTAGTTATTTAAATGTTTGGTAGAATTCAGCAATGAAGTCATTGAGTCCCAGATTTTCTTTATGGTTATTATCCCTTTGAATAAACTTTCTACCTCTATCTCTTTCTCTGCCTCCTCTTTAAGGCCAATAACTCTTAGGTTTGCCCTTTTGAGATTATTTTTTAGATCTCATAGGTGTGCTTCTCTGTTTTTTAGTCTTGTCCTTTGTCTCCTTTGACTATGTATTTTCAAATAGCTTGTTTTCAGGCTTACTAATTCTCTCTTCTCCTTGATCAATTCTGCAATTAAATGACTTTGATTCTTAAGTACGCCAATTGCATTTTTCAGCTCCAGAATTTCTGCTTGATTCTTTTTATTTCAATTTCTTTGTTAAATGTATCTAATAGCATTCCGAATTCCTCCTCTGTGTCATCTTTAATATTTTTTAGTTTCTTTAACGTAGCTATTTTAAATCCTGTCTCTGAACGGTCACACATCTCTGTTTCTCCAAGATTGGTCCCTGGTGCCTTATGTAGTTCATTTGGTGAGGCCATCTTTTCCTGGATGGTGCTGATGCTAGTAGATGTTCTTTGGTGTCTGGCCATTGAAGAGTTAGGTGTTTATTGTAGTCTTCATTGTCTTGGCTTATCTGTACCCATTCTTTTTGTGAAGGCTTTTCAGGTATTTGAAAGGACTTGAGTGTTGTGATATAAGCTGTTTCTGCTTTTGGAGGCACCTCAAGTCCCATAATACTGTGATTCTTGCAGACTTGTAGGGGTACCACCTTGATTGTCTTAGACAAAATGTGGGAGAATTATCTGTATTACTAGGCAGAGACTCTTGCTCTCGTCTCTTACTTTCTTCTAAACAAACAGTCTCATCTCTCTGTTCTGAGCCACCTAAAGCTTGTAGTAGAGTGACACAAGCACTCCCATGGCCACCACCACTATGACTATGCTGGGTCAGATGTGAAGCCAGCACAGCCCTGGATCTCACACAAGAGATACTGTAACTACTCCCTGGCTACTGCCTATGTTCACTCAAGGCCCTGGGCCTCTGCATTCAGCAGGCAGCAAAGCCAGCCAGGCCTGTGTCCTTCCCTTCAGGGCAGCGAGCTCTCCCAGGCCCTGGGTGGGGTCCAGAGATGCTATCCAGGAGACAGGAACCAGAGCCAAAATCCCTAAAAGTCTACCTGGTGTTCTACTGTACTGCAGCTGAGCTGGCACTCACACCACAAGATGCAGCTCTTCCCACTCTTTCCAAAGGTAGAGGAGCTTCATCCCATACCCACTGCCACCACAAGCCACAGGGAGTACTGCAAGACTACTGCAAATATTCCCTTAAAGCCCAAGATGAATTCTGCCTGGATTCACTCTTCAGGACAGGGGGCTCCCCTCTGGCCAAGGACAAGTCCAGAAATGCCATCCACGAGTCAAGTCCTGGAATTGGGACTCCAAGAGGCTGCTTGGTGCTCTACGTCCCCATGGCCATGATGGTACATAAGGTGTAAGACAAATTCCCCTTTACTTTTGCCTCTGCTTTTCACAAGCCGAAGGAGTTTCACCCCACAGCCACCGCGGCTGATGATGTGCTGTATCTCACCTGAAACAGGGAAGACTCACAGCCTCACTCAAGGCCCTCAGTATAGTACCTGGGTATTGCTGCTGGTTATTCGGGGCCCAAGAGCTCTTCAGTAAGCAAATGATGAATGTTGCCAGAACTGGGTCCTTCCCTTCAAGGTAGTGGGTGCCCTTTTCACCAAGAGTGTGTCTAGAAATGTCTTCCAGGAGCTAGGTCTTGGAATGAGGGCCTCACAAATCAGATCAGTGCCCTATCCTGCTGTGGCTGAGCTGGTATCCAAGATGCAAGACAAAGTTCTCCCCACTCTTCCCTCTCCTGTCCTCAAGCAGAAGGAAGGGATCTCTTGTGAAGCAGTCTGGGATTAGGAGGGGGGTGATGCCAGCATTCCCTTAACCACCTTGGCTGATGTCTCAGGTCGCATGCACTCCACCGAATCCACTGTGTCTGGGCTCATTTGAGGACTAGAACTTACCTAAGAATTGCAGTCCTTATGGCCTACACTACCTTTTAAGTTTACTTAGAGACGCAGAGCACTGTGGCCCTTGGTGGCAGAGTTTGTGGGAAGTCACGTTCAGACCTCCGGAATTGGCAACTGCCCTCTGGTTAGTGCGAGTATAAATGCTCCCTCCATGGGTGGGTGTCAGATGAATTCGGTCTGGTCTTCCATTCTGCTCTAATAGGACAGCACTGAGTTCATTGTCTCCCAGTTGCTGTGTTTGCCCTCCCGCAGGGCCCAGAGATGCTCTTTGCACCACGCCTTGGCAGCTGGGTTTGGTGGACGAGTGGTATCAGCAATTTAAGGCTGTTTGTTTTTTCTATATCTTCTGTGCCTATTTCAGTGATACAAAGATGAAACCAGGTATGAGGAAGGCTCATCTGATTTCTGGTTCTTATGAAGATGTTTTTACTGTGTAGACAGTTGTTAAATTGGTGTCCTTGAGGGAGGAGCAGAACCTTCTGTTCCACCATTTTGCTTTACCTCTTCCCTGAACTGTACTGTGTATTATATTTATTTCTGATTACCATGTTTTAAATGAACTGTGATAAAACTGTAGAGACTTTTGAGAATGGTGACTATAACACTAAGAGACCTTGCCATTTTATGTAAGAAATGTTACAAGACACTAGGATGTTTATACTGGAATTGGGAATACTTTCTGAGAATAGGAGAGCAGTCCTTAAATATAGAAGAGGTGCTTATAAAAGCAAAACCAGAATTACTTTAAAATTAGCAACCTCAAAGCAAGCATAGATCAATGTATGGAAGTTTAGAAAAAGACTTCATATCAATAACAAGGAACACAATCTTATATTTCATAATAAAATAACAATGAATGAATGCATTCATAACATAACAGAATTGTTTTCTTTCAGGTCCATAGACTCCCTATCACTGGATGATCAAAGCAGGTGTTCTACTAGAGAGAAGATAAAAATGTGGTCTGTTGTGTTTTATATGCATTTTGATTCTGCTTTTTTGAATGAGCAGCTTATTCTAGAGAGTCTATTTCTGTATTGTTTCACTCACCACTGCAGGATTGTGTGCAGCATTCGGCAGGGACAGAGGACACTAATATCAATGCCAAGGAAGTCACTGCAGGAACAATGATCTGAGGAGACCCAACAGTTTTAAGGCAAGTCTTTGAAGGGCCCCTCTGTGTGGAAGCCTCAGATCTGATTTGACTGGTTTGCTGCAACCCTGATGAGTTGAGATTCTTTGAAGTGAGAGGTCTGCAACTTAACTCTTCCTGATAACTTTTTCCTCTGACCAACTTTCTTATCTTATTGTGGCAATGAAGATAAATCCAGTTTAGTTTGTTTTGAGGAGCAATAACAGCACTCCCTACTTCATCTCCTCTACACACAAATTTACACAGCCTTTCTAAAGATGCATACCTGGGCAACTCGAGATAAAACTTTCCCCTTTCATCTAATCCTTTGTGCTTGTATAATAAATAAATCTTGTAGGAAAAAACTGAAAGCTTCAAATGTTGATAAGCCAGTAACATTCCTCTTTTAGCCACCTCTGAATTTTAATAAATTTAATTTTAATAAACTAGCAGACTATCTTTGCTAGCAACACTTTGTATTTCCATATTTAAAGAGCATCATAATGGAAATTGATTTATTAAAAACAATTCCAAGCATACAGCATCTGATGCTATTTATCATAACAATGTTAACTTGGTAAGAAGCGTAAGGTAATGGTAAAGATGTTGGATTTTTTTTGCCAGCAGTTCTTGGGGGAAAATTTTTTGCTAAAATTTCAGGGTAGAAACTTTAAAACTCAAAATTATAAGGTTTCTGTGCAGGCTAGTGAGAAATTATCTAAGAATAATATTCAAGTCTTTTTCAAAGAATTGTGTGAAATGAGGTCAAGAAAATAACCATAGCATTGTGCCCTTGGGTGATTATTTATTTCATTCTATTGCGTGTTTGTGGCATACTTGTGGGTTTTTTTGTTTTTGTTTTGTTTTGTTTTGTTTTGTTTTGTTTTTTACTTTACGTTTTGGGATACACGTGCTGAACGTACAGGTTTGTTACATAGGTATACATGTGCCACGGTGGTTTGCTGCACTCATCAACCCGTCATCTAGGTGATTATTATGGAGGAAAATCATTGTTGTTTAACATTGTCATAAAACACTGAAAACTAGCCTCCATACCCTCAGCCACTTTATCCTTCAGGTAAGAGGCAAGGATTTCCAAAGATAATATAAGTTTTGGAAGCTTATTAGTATAGAGTGTAGAATGGATAATTCTCTCCTCTTATCCTGTGAGGTTATAGACTCTATGAGATGATTTGGGCCTATATCAACTGAGAAGGGGGCACCAGAGGCCAACCAGGTGATGCTCTGTTAATTCCACTAATCCCTAACAAGCATTAGGCATGTTGATGCATAAAATGCCCACTCCAAAGGCAAAGGATAAAAGTCTAAGCACTGTGTAATAATAAGTCCTTAAATAAACCTGATCTAAAGTTAATAAACCAATACTAACCTTCATAAAGTTAATAAACCAATACTGATTTTCATTTTAACTACCTATTTTAATTCAATTCAACAAATATTTGATAATTCTCTAGGACTTGCTTTGGTTGATTTATTTGTTTGTTTGTTGCCTAGGCTATGCTGGCTTCTGAGCCCTGTCCTTACTATTATGAAAGGGCCTCTGAACCCTCTAGCTCTTCCCGCTCTGCATGCTTCCCAGGCTCACTCTCCAACATGCCTGCTGACTTGCTCTCTTGCTACTCACAAAACACAGAGACTACCACACCTCACTCCTCATTTCTTGAGCTAGATCTACTGCCACAAAGAGAGGAAACTTTTTTTTTCCTTCCAACTCTTGCAGACCTTTAGGTTTCCAGATTGCCACCCGAGGTTTCAGTTTTATAGTCTTGTTTATTAGGTAATTGAAGGAGTTCTATAGAAATAAAATCAAAGAGAATTAAAGGTTACAAACTAATGCATATTTTCCTTATTGATCATAAGCTACTGTTTCAGGTAAGAAAACAAGCTTAAAAATCCCCCACTCCACTGTCATCCTCAGGATGACCTCTTGCATAACCTTATCAGAGTCATTTCTTCTTTCTCTCATGTTCTAAGGGGACAGATTATTGGGCTCTATATTTCCTTGCTCTCAGGAAGCAATTAAACACTCACAAAAATAGGACTCCAGATTAACCCGTTATCTCAGAATTCATAACTGGGAGTATCATACAAGGCCACCAGGACATTCACTTCATTCTCCGTAACTCTATGTTAGCTTTAAATATGATGACCTATAATTGGAGAAATAAAGAACCAATGGAGCAGCAATCTTCTCAGATTTCATATATGTTAACTTTCATTTGAACTATAATCCTGATACTACATACTCATCTAACCAAAATTATCAACACCCTTTATTCATATATGTGTTCTCAAATGCTTCTCCATAGTTCTGACTCTCCTGTTCATCTTTTCACTGACTTTCCTTATTTCAGATTATGTGAAAACAATAGAGAGATGCTGTTAAACCCTAACATTATCTCTTGATTCTCCAAGGCTAAATCCTAAAATTAACAATAACCAACAATCTGACATGATTTTAATAATTTTATATAACATGTAGATACTCAATTGTTTGTCAGGGTAAAAACCAAGTTAAATAGTTTTTATTCCACCAAAATAGTGTAGCCAGGTTACTGAGTACCTATTAACCAAACCATACCTCCTTCCCTCACACCAAGCTGCTAGAAAAACCTTATCAGACCATTTGTAATGGAGTTAATTTGAATTAATTCAAATTAATTATTTGAATTAAAATAGGCAGTTACTGCTGAAAACTAAAATAGAAGCATAAACTTTTTATGAAAATGCACATTGATGTAAATACCATGTCACATCTGTAGGCTGTTTAAATGCCTCATAAAACATATTCCAAATGACTGTTAAGTAATCATTAATTCCCAAGATGAAAATAATTTAGAATAATAGATTTGAACAATTAAAGCTGATAAAAACAAAGACAATCAGATAGAAGCTTTCACTGAAAAAAAAAAATGTTTATACTATATTTAGCATAGATCCTAGAGCAAGAGAGCTCTGTACTTATTTTAAGTGTTAGAAACTGGTCCCGTTTTAGACTAGAAAATGAAGGAAAAGTCAGACATGATTAAAAATGACATGTGCCTTGAGGATAAAGGCTACAACTCTTTAGCTGTCTGAAATACTTCTGATGCTTGGTTCTGCCAGAGATCTTCAGAACCCATAAAGAAACACTCGGAATGTCAAGATTTTCAAAACTATTGCCCAAGGGAGGCCTACAAACACAATTTAAAGATCATTGAGCTGTTTCTCTATTGACATCTTTTTCTACCAGCACTTTTTTCAAATTGGAAGCATCGATTTTTTAAAACTCAGAAATGTTTCATAAAAGCTCATAATGCTTTCTCTAGAACAACAATGTAACTATTACCAGGACATGATCATCTCACTTTTTAGATAATTTTTAATGAAAAATAGTTGCATTAATATTCTCTTACGTCATGGATTTTTTCTTTATGTCTAAATTACACAAGTGTTAACAAACTTATCAATTTTATGATTATCTTGAATCTACAACAACTTAATTATTTACATTTGTATTGCTCTCACATATTCCAATATACATACTCACCTCTATGGTCAAGTAAGCATTACAATTTCCATTTATTTTTTAATTAATAAGTTATATTTATTAGAGCAGTTTCAGTTTCTCCCAAAACTGTTCAGAAAGTACAGGAGGTTTTCATATACACTTAACCCCATCCACACAAAGCTCCCTTTCCCCACTGTCAACATCCCTTAGCAGAGTGGTACATTTGTTAAAATGAACCTACATTGGCCCATCATTACCAATCAAAGTCCACAGTATATATAAGGATTCACATTTGATGTTATAAATTCTATACATTCTGAAAAATAGATAATGACATACATCCATCATTGTAATATTATACAGGATAGTTTTACTGCCCTAAAAATACTCCGTGCTCAGCCTATTTATCTGCTTCTCCTCCCTCACCACCCCCAACCCCTGGCAGCCACTAATCTCTTTTACACTTCCATAATTTTGGCTTTTCCAGAATGTCATTTATTTGGAATCATATTTTTTAGATTGGCTTCTTTCACTTAGTAATATGCATTTAACTTTTCTCCATATCTTTTCGTGGCTTTATATATAGCTCACTTTTTTAGTACTGAATAATATCCCATTGTCTAGATGTGCTACTGTTTATTTATCCACTCATATACCAAAGGATGGTTTGAAGGCTTTCAAGTTTGGGCAATTATGAATACAGCTGCTATAAACATCTGTGAGCAGGTGCACAAAGAAGTGCAATTGCTATATTGTGTGGTAAGAATATGTTTAGTTTTATACAAAACTGCTAAATGGCCCTCCAAAGTGGCTATACCATTGTGTATTCCCACTAGCAATGAATGAGAGTTCCTGTTGCTCCACATTCTTGCCAGCAATGGATATTGTCAATGTTCTGGGTTTTTGCTATTCTAATAAGTGTAATGGTACACTGTTGTTGTTTTATTGCATTTCTCTAATGCCATAAACATATGTCATTGAACATCTTTTTATATGCTTACTTGTCATCTGTATATCTTCTTTGGTTTGGTGTCTGTTCAGGTGTTTTGCTCATTATTCAATCAGGTTGCTCATTTTCTTACTGTCGAGTTTTAAACTTTTTCATATATTTTGGATAACAGTCATTTATGAGACATGTCTTTTGCAAATATTTTCTCCCTATGACTTGTCTTCTCATTCTCTTGACACTGTCCTTCAAAGAGCAGAATTTTTTAATTTTAATAAAGTCCAGCTTATCAATTATGTCTTTCATGGATTATGCTTTTGGTGTTGTGTCTAAAAAATAATTGCCATATTAAAGATCATCTAGGTTTTCTCCTATGTTATTTTCTAGAAGGGTTATAGTTTTGCATTTTATATTTAGGTTTATAATGTGTTTTGATTTACTTTCAGAAGAATGTAAGATCTGTGTCTAGATTCCTTTTTTTTTTTCTGACATGTGGATGTTTACTTGTTCCAATGCCATTTTTTGAAAAGACTATCTTTGCTCCATTATATTGTCTTTGCTCCTTTGTCAAAAATCTCTTGACTATATTTATGTGGGTTTATTTCCAGGCTATTTTGTTCATTTGATCTATTTTTCTGTTCTTTTGCCAATACCACCGTCTTGATTACTGTAGCTTTTAAGTCTTCAAGTTGTTGTTAGTTCTCCAACTTTGTTCTTCTCTTTCAATATTGAGTCAGTCATTCTAGGTCTTCTACCTCTTTATAAAAACTTTTTAACCAGTTTATCAATTCATGAACAAACTGTCTGGAATTTTGACAGGGACTGCATTGAAGCTATAGATCAGGTTGGAAGAGCTAATATACTGACAACATTGAGTCTTTCTACCGCTGAATATGGAATATCTTTCTACCTTCATTTAATTCTTTTTTTTTTTTTTTTTTTTTTTTTTGAGACAGAGTCTTGCTGTCGCCGAGGCTGGAGTGCAGTGGTGCGATCTCAGATCACTGCAAGCTCTGCCTCCCGGGTTCATGCCATTCTCCTACCTCAGCCTCCCGAGTAGCTGGGACTACAGGCACCCCCCACCACGCCCGGCTAATTTTTTGTATTTTTTGTAGAGACAGGGTTTCACCGTGTTAGCCAGGATGGTCTCGATCTCCTGATAGCTCTCATCAGAGTTTTGCAGTTTTTCTCATTGATATTTTGTACACATTTCGTTAGACTTACACCTATGTATTTCATTCTGGGGTGCTAATATAAATGGTAATGTGTTTTTACTTTAAAATTCCACTTTTTTATTGCACATATAGAAGAAAGTGATTGATTTTTGTATATTAACCTTATATCCAGCGATCTTACTATAATAACTCTTGGTTCCAGGAGTTTCTTTGTCAATTTTTAAAAATTTTTACATAGTCTGTGGTCTGAAAAGCAGTTGTATTTTTTCTTTCTTAATCTGCTTACCTTTTCTTTTTTTACAGCATTATCTAGCACTTTTAGTACTGTATGGCAAAGCAATAGTGAGAGGGAATATCCTTTCTTTGTTCCTGATCTTAGCAAGAAACCTTCAAGTTTCTCATTATTAAGTACATTGTTAGCTTCATGTTGTTCATAGATATCTTTCTCAAACTGAAGAAGTTTCACCTGTGTTCCCAGTCTTCTGGGAGTTTTTATCATCAATAGGTGTTGTATTTTCCTATATGCTTTTCCTGTATTTATTGATATTATCATGTTATTTTTCATCTCTAGTCTGTTGATGTGGTGGATTGCATTAGTTGGTTTTTAGTTGAAACTGCCTTGCATAACTGGAATAAATCCTACTTGATCATGGTTATACTTTATTTTTACATTTTTGGATTTAATTTGCTAGTATTTGTTGAGAATTTTTTGCATTGTATTAATAAGAGAAATTAATCTGTAACTTTTGTTGTAATGTCTTTGGTTTTGTTATTAGGATAATGCTGGCCTCATAGAATGAATTTGAAAGTGTTCCTCCTGCTTCTACTTTCTGGAATTGATTGTAGAGAACTGACATAATTTCTACTTAAAATATTTGGTAGAATTTACCAGTAAACTCATTTGAGCCTGGCATTTTCTGTTTTGGAAGATTATTAATTGTTGATTCCATTTCTATAATATATATGCCTATTCGGATGATCTATTTCTTCTTCTCTAAGTTTTGGCAGATTGTGCATTTTATAGAATTGGTCTATTTCATCTAGGTTATCAAATTTGTGTACGAGGACAAGTTCATAATTTTTTTATTATTCATTTAGTATCCATGCAACCTATAGTGATGTTCTTTCTCTCTTTTCTGACATGAATAATTTGTGTCTTTTCTCATTTTTCTTAATTAGATAATCTAGATTTTCTTCTATATTATTTTCTAGGAGTTTTATGGTTTTGCATTTTATATTTATGCTAAGGGTTTATTGATTTTATTGATCTTTCCTAATAACCACCTTTTGATTTTGATAATTTTTTTATTTCTTATTTTTAATTTCACTGGTGTCTTCTCTAATTTTTATTATTTTTTTTCTTCTGCTTACTTTGGATATAATATACTCTTTCTAGTTTTCTAAAGTTGGAGATTGCATTATTCATTTTAGATCCTTCGCTTTTCTAATATATTCATTCAATCTTATAAATTTCTCTATAACAGCTGCTTTCACTGCAACCCACAAATATTGATAATTGTATTTTTATTTTTATTTAGTTTAAAATATTTGGGGAGGATTTCTCAGTTATCTTTTTGTATTGATTTCTAGTTTCTTTCTGTTGATTGACTTCTGGTATAGTTTCAGAGCAGATATTGTATTACTTCTATTCTGTTGAACTTGTTAAGGTGTTTTTATGGCACAGAAAGTGGTCTATCTTGGTGAACTTGCAAAGAATATATAATCATCTATTGGTTGAACTGTGAACTTGAGAAGAATATGTTATCTTCTGTTGGTTGGAGTAGTCTATACATGTCAACTATATCCAGTCAGATGTTGTTGCTGTATAGCTCATCTACAGGCATACCTCTAAGCTATTGTGGATTTGGTCCCACCCACAATAAAGCAAGTATCGTGATAAAATGAGTCACACAAATTTTATTGTTTCTCAGTACATATAAAAGTAATGGGCTGGGCATGGTGGCTCACGCCTGTAATCCCAGCACTTCAGGAGGCCTAGGCAGTCGGATCACGAGGTCAGGAGATCAAGATGATCCTGGCTAACATGGTGAAACCCCGTCTCTACTAAAAATACAAAAAATTATCCGGACGTGGTGACACGCACCTGTAATCCCAGCTACTTGGGAGGCTGAGGCAGGAGAATCGCTTAAACCAGGGAGGCGGAGGTTTCAGCGAGCCGAGATGGTGCCACTGTGCACTGTGCTCCAGCCTGGATGACAGAGCGAGACTCCATCTCAAAAAAAAATAAATAAATAAATAATAAAAAGAAAAAGTAATGTTTACATTATACTGTATTTTATTAAGTGCTTAATACCAGATGCTGGCAAGGACATAGAGAAAAGGGAACTCTCATATACTATTGTTGGGAATGTAAATTAGTACAAGCACTATAGAAAACGTATGGAGATTTCTCAAAAAAAAAAAAAACTAAACTAAAAATAGAACTACCACGTGATCCAGAAATCTCACTATAGGGTATCTATCCAAGGGAAAAGAAATCAGAATATCAACTGCACATTTATCCCAGTTCTATTCAAAACAACAAAGATACAGAATCAACATAAGTGTCCATCAGTGGATAAACGGATGAAGAAAATGTGGTGTATATACACAATAGAATACTATTTGGTCACAAAAAAAAGATGAAATCACATCATTTGCAGCAACATGGATGGAGCTGGAGGTCATTATGTTAAGTGAAATAAGCCAGGCACAGAAAGACAGATACCACATGTTCTCACTCACATGTGGGAGCTAAAAAATTTAAGCTCACAGACATTCAAAATAGAACAATAGATACTAGATTCTGGGAAGGGTCAGGGGTTGGGAAGTAAAGAGAGGTTGGCTATGGGTGCAAACATACAATTAGGTAGAAGAAATAAGTTCTAATATTTGATAGCAGACTAGGATGACTATAATTAGCAACAATATTATGTATATTTCAAAGTAACTAAAGGAGAGAACTTGAAATGATACCAACACATACAAATGGTAAACACTCAAGGTGATGAATACCCCACATAACCTGATTTGCTCATTTCACATTCTATGCATGTAACAAACACTCACATGTATGTTGTTATATGTCAATAACAAATGCACATATCTTAATTTAAAAATATTTTATGGATAAAAAATGCTAAAGATCATTTGAGCCTTTAGAGAGCCATAATCTTCTTGCTGATGGAAGGTCTCACCTTGATGTCGATGGCTGCTGAGTGATCAGAGTGGTGGTTCCTGAAGGCTTGCTTGGCTGTGGCAATTAATTTCTTAAAATAACTTCAACAATTAAGTTTGTTGCATCTGTTGACTCTTCCTTTCATGAAAGGTTTCTCTGTAGCATGCAATGTTTCACAGTATTTTACCCACAATAGAATTTCTTTCAAACTATAAGTCAATATTTTCAAACTCTGCTTTTTCTTTATTAACTAATATGTAATATTCTAAATTTCTCTTTTTAAAATTATTTTAGATTCAAGTGTACATGAGCAGGTTCGTTATGTGGGTATATTGTATAATGTTGGGGTTTGGGCTTTTGTTGAACCCGTCACCCAAATAGTGTACACAGCGTCCAATAGGTAGTTTTCAACCCTTGCCCTCCCTTTTGGAGTTCCAGTGTCTATTGTTTGCATATGTATGCTCCTGTGTACCCATTGTTAAGTGCCTACTTAAAAATAAGAACATGTAGTAATTGGTTTTCTATTCCTGCATTAATTCACTTGGATAATGCCCTCCAGGTGTATCCATGTTGCTGCAAATAACATGATTTCCTTCTTTTTTGTGGCTGTGTAGTACTCCATGGTCAATATGTACTACATTTTTTTTATCCAATCTTCTGTTGATGAGCACTTAGGTTGATTCTATGACTTTGCTATTGCAAACAGTGCTGCAATAAAATACGATGCATGTGTCTTTTAGTAGAAGATTTCATTTCCTCTGGGTAGATATCCAGTAGTGGGATTGCTGGGCTAAATGGAAGTTCTATTTTCTAAATTCTTTGTTGTCATTTCAATGATGTTCATGGTGTCTTCACTGGGAGTAGATCCCATCTCAAGAAACCACCTTCTTTGCTTTTCCATAAAACGCAACTTCTCATTTGTTCAGGTTTAATCATAAGGTTGCAGTAATTCAGTCACATCTATAGGCTCCACTTCTAATTCTAGTTATCTTGGTATGTCTACCACATCCGCAGTTACTTTTTCTACTGAAGTCTTGAACCCCTTAAAGTCATCCATAAGGTTTTACATCCACGTTCTTCAAACTTCAAACTTAATGTTGATATTTTGACCTCCTCTCATGAATTATAATGTTCTCAGTGGCATATAGAATGGCAAATGCTTTCCAGAAGGTTTCAATTTACTTCACCCAGATCCATCAGAGGAATCACTATCTATGGCAGCTATAGCCTCAGGAAATGTATTTCTGAAATAATAAGACTTAAAAGTTTAAATGACTCTTTGATTCATGTGCCACAGAATGGGTATTGTGTTAGCAGACATGAAAACAACATTAATCTTCTTGCACAACTCCATTAGAACTCTTGGGTGACCAGCTGTACTGCCAATGAGCAGCACTGTTTTGAAAGGAATCTTTCAAGGCAATATGTCTCCACAGTGGGCTTAAAATATTCAGTAATTCAGGCTTATTGTTCCATTTATAGAGTACAGGAAGAGTAGATTTAGCAAAATTATCAAGGATTTTTGGAATGGTAAATAAGCATTGGTTTCAACTTAGTCATCATCTGCATTGGTCCCTAACAAGAGAGTCAGCCTGTCTTTGATGCATTGAAGCCAGGCATTGACTTCTCCTTAGCTACGAAAGTGCTATATGGCATCTTCTTCCAATAAAAGGCTGTTTGGCCTACACTGAAAATCTATTGTTTAGTCTAGTCACATTCATCAATTTTCTTAGCTTGTGGATAACCTGCTGCAGCTTCTACATCAGCACTTGCTGCTTCACCTTGCATTTTGTTATGAAGACAGCTTCTTTTCTTAAACCTCATGAACTAATTTCTGCTAACTGCAGATGTTTCTTCTGCAGCTTCCTCACCTCTCTTACTCTTCATAGAATTGAAGAGTTGGGTCTTGTTTTGAATTAGGCTTTGGCTTAAGGGAATGGTGTGGCAACTTTGATCTAATCAGAACACTAAAATTTTCTCCATATCAGTAATAAGGCTGTTTTGCTTTCTTATCATTCATGTGTTCACTGAGTTAACACTTTTAATTTCCTTCAAGAACTTTTTCTTTGCGTTCACAACTTGACTGTTTGGTGCAAGAGGCCTATTTTTGCCCTATCTCAGCTTTAGACATACCATCCTCACTAAGCTTAATCATTTCTAGCTTTTGATTTAAAATGAAAGACATACAGCTCTTCCTTTCACTTGAACATTTAGAGGCCATTGAGAAGTTATAGACTGGCCTATTTTCCACATTTTTGTGTTTCAGGAAATTGAGAAGCCTGAGGAAAGGGAGTGAGTGAGAGTTCTAGAGAACCGTGACTAATACAGATTTATCATCAGAACACAACAGATGGATTCTAGTGACTTCCACCCCCACCAGTTCAACCTGTAACAGATTTTACTAACATCCCAGGTCCAGCCACCTTACAAATTGCTCCATTGGACCCTCCTGTAGAATTCAGCTTCTTCATTTCTCTTAACTCTTGTTTCCTGCCTCACCTTAAACTGATGGCCTCCCAATTATATCTCAGAGATATGCATTGGATCCTCCTTTCTAAACAATTTATTAGGACTCCCTAACATATGTAAAAGCAATCATTGGGACCAGATTAAGGAGGAGATGCTATTAACAGCTTGTGGTGAAATAACTGACCCTGATTTACTTCTATGTTGTACAAAAAATAACAAATAAAATAAAATAAAAAACTGTGCTCCTATTGGGCATATTTACTTTAGTCAGTGGGGCAACTCAGCATGAGCCTCCAGATACTTAGAGACTTGGATAACAGAAGGCCAAAATGGGTTGGGATATTTGACTGCTCTATTGTCAATAGATAATAGATCTGAAAGTTATGACTGGAGCAATCTTTAGACTAGCCCCCTCTCACTACATCAAAAAGTCAAATGTGATTTACCTGGTGGGTTCAGGGACTCTGGATTTGTATCCTTTGGTAGAACTTTTGTACCTTGGTAAGGTGTTGCCACTAATCAAGAAATGATTTTTTTACATGTGTCTGCTACCCTAGCAATTTTTACAGGCTTGACTGCAAAAGCTATCACCGCACAACAGCACTAGTTTCTCTTGCCAGGGTAATCTTAGATAATAGAATTGTTCTTGATGATCTATTAATGAGTGAGGTGGTGTCTCTATTCTTGCTAATATTAATATTATATGCTGTACCTGGATAAGCTCCTTGGGGGAGGGTGACAAAATAAGAGAGAAGTTATAGAAAATAAGAGAACAGCCACCTGGCTACAAGTCTCATGTAGTTCCCCATGGTCATTTGATCCTTTCAGCTGGTTGCCTTTAAGTCTAGGTTCATGACTTAGAACCATTACACAGACTGGGATTATCATATTGCTGTTATTTTTGCTTTATATTTTTCATTTTAAACTTTATGGCTGTTATCTGACATATCACTGCAAAAATACATGTCCTGACAAAAGAAAAAGTTGGCCCAGCACTTTGAAATGATGGCCAACACCTATGGAACAGAAAAATCAAATTTAACAATAACATCTACCAGAATTAAGCCTGAGTGGTTCTCCTTCTGGCCTTCTTATTATTGCTCAAATGTTGCTAAAAGGGTCTTAACACTAACTTCCAGCTATCCATCACCTCCCTACAAAGTGGAACCATATCAAACTAACCAGGAAATGTCCATCAGAGATCCAAGAGACAATTAAAACCTGACTACAGGCTAACTGATCAGCAATGCTTTCAGAAAAAAAGATTTTGGTCAAAAGGAGGAAAGTAAAGGTTGCAGATACTAACATGAAGTCACTCTTGTCAGACACAGACAAAATAGGGCCAGAAAGACACAAAAGGTTGGGGCTCATGCTTGCATGTGTGAGATACAAACTCTTTCCAAGAATTTTCCTAAAACCCCACAAGAAATTTCTTCACATCTTTCACACATCTCCTCCTTTGCATAGCTTGTACATTTTGTACATATGCCCATATTTCTATGACAAGGTTTATTACTAGACATTAGTTAACACTGCGATATTCAAATAAGATGCTCTAGAAAGAACTCTTGTCCCATAATGGCACCTCCACCCATGAACTGGTGCCAATTCTGGCTTTAAGCCTTCAGGATCATGATCTCTATTTTTAAGCAGCTCATGTGAACTCCTTTTTGCCAGTAAAAGCTTCCCTTTCCACTTCCCTCACCAGATGCACATGTGGCTTGCAGTGGCCACGCATCTGGATTATAATCCCCTTTTCTAATTCTGGAACAAATTCAACATATTAAGAGATGTTTTCCTCTAATGTCTTTGTTTTAGGCTGACAACTTTATAATTTCTTGTTGAAAGGTGGACACGATATACTGATTAAGAGGAGCTGTAGTGATAAGGTGTGGGGGATGGGGAACATTCTACCATCTTATGATTAGGTCTCAGCACTTTGGGAAGCCTGTGCCTCTGGACTTTGAACTTCAGTGATTTTCAGTGTATCACCCTCTTACATGGTTCAGGGTGGCCTGAGGGAGCTAGAGTTCTGGGTTTTAATTTCCTCACATGGAAAGCTAGGGAGAACTAGGATTGGGTATTTCCCTTCCCCCAGGTAGAGTAGGCTCTGCTAAAACCCCAGCGGGTTAGGTTCTGATAAAATAGTTTCTCCAGGGAGCAGACCTTGTTAAGAACATAAAGCTCTGACATTTTAAAAAGTGGTTTCCTTTTCCCTCCCTCTGTAGAAGCTCAAGGGAATTTTTCTTTAGTATTCACTGTGAGGACCTGGCAGAGCTCCGGGAGGTAAAACTCACAAAGGTATGCCGGACCGTGGCGACCGGGTCCTCCTGGAGGTTTTAACTCTCAGGGTTGTCTACACACTAAGTCCCCAGCAATTGGTCAATTAACATTCAGTTTTCCCTACCCTGACAGCGGTTCCACAGATTTCTGCTCGTGGGTTTCTGCTCTGAGCAGTAGTTCTTTGCATCCACCTGTATGTCTCTCCAGTTTTAGGGGTAGCCGTGTTCCTGATTCCTTGGCTTTTTACTTGTTTTTAGAATAAAGTGATGATCGCTAAGCTCCTTACATGCAGGACCAGAAACCAGAAGTTGCCATTTCCATTTTAAAATGAGATAACTAAGAATCACAGGAGGTACAACATGACTTCCCAAAAGTCATATATGTGTTGGAGATTGAATGAAGACCTGAGCCTAGTGACACTAAGGCTGAGTTATTAACCTGTTGTGAAGTTGTGTAAAAGACTTGGATTTTACTTATCCATTTCAGAAAGAAAGTGACTAAATTGAGATACTGACTCAACTTCTTACATTCAGGAAAGAAGGTCATTAAAATAGCATTCTATTCCTAAAATTTTATCTCACTCAAATTATGAAAACTTATCTGCACAGTTTATTACAGTGTGATTCATAAGAAAAAAATGTAAATAGCTTTAATGGCTTTGAAAATTATATATATATATGCTTACAATAAGATATTAAGAACAGAATGTAAAATCAGAGTAAAATGTATATGATATCATATCAAGTGAAGAAAGCTGACATCAAAACTGTTTCTACTTAAAATGAACAATGATGGTAAATAGTAAAAAATGCTAGTTGCGAAGGTTGAGCTTTAAAAAAAAAATGTATGATGAGCCAGGTGCAGTGGCTCATGCCTGTAACTCCAGCACTTTGGGAAGCCGAGGCGGGCGGATCACGAGGTCAAGAGATTGAGACCATCCTGGCTAACACAGTGAAACCCCGTCTCTACCAAAAATACAAAAAAAATTACCCGGGCGTGCTGGCGGGTGCCTGTAGTCCCAGCTACTCAGGAGGCTGAGGCAGGACAATGGCGTGAACCCGGGAGGCAGAGCTTGCCATGAGCCAAGATGGCACCACTGCACAGCAGCCTGGGCGACAGAATGAGACTCTGTCTCAAAAAAAAAAAAAGTATTTTTTTTGATAAATGTGCATTCTATGGTTTGAATATTCCCCAACAAAACTCATGTTGAAGCTTAACCCTCAATGTGGGAGTATTGAGAACCAGGGCCTTTAAGATGTAATTGGATCATGAGGGCTCTGCCTTTATGAATAGATAAATCCATTTGTGGATCAATGGGTTATCATGGCAGTGGAACTGGTGGCTTTATAAAAAGAGAAAGAGAGACTTGAGCTAGCACATTAGCATGCTCAGTCCCCTGTCCACGTGATACCCACTAGGACTCTTCAGAGAGTCCCCATCAGCAAGAAGCGTCTCAACAGATGGGACTCCTTGACCTTGGAATTCTCAGCCTCCATAACTGTAAGAAATAAATTCCTGTTCTTTATAAATTACCCAGTTTCAATTATTCTGTTACAAGCAACAGAAAATGGACTAATAGCATGTACAATAAGTAAGTGAAAGAAATGCATTCATGATACTTTATGGACTGGAGACACTGGAATAGTCTTTTTGAAAAAAGGAAAGCTTATTTCTTGCAACTTTAGTTTAAAATTTAGAATTATAAATATCAGTCTTTAGAGGAATATAAATGTCATTGTTTACATGGAGGAGTATGCTGGCATAATGGGTGTCAAGTTTTTCCTCTTGCTATAACACGTACTTAAATAAATCGCTCCCCAGAGGCCTTATAAAATGGCATCACATGTTCATTTAAACTAGGTGTTTATGGTACAACAATGTAGAGAATAAAAGGAATGGAACACTGGGCAATTTCTATAGAAAAAGAAGGATTTTAGTAATGTGGTTGGGGGTGTAAGGCATCATCAATGCAGGCTTTTATTCAACCTCATTCATTCAGCACACAGTAAAAGATGCATGTGCCTAAATCCTGGAGATAAGCCTGACTTGAAATGTGTTTCTCTCTTTGGTATAATGCTTTTTTTTTTCCAGGTCTTTTTCAGTAATTCCTTGCAGCTTCAGCTCATACACAATGATTCGTTGGTTTCTTCATTGAAAAGGAAGGGAAGGGGGAGAAAACACCACTTTTTAAAGCCAAGACCAAAGAAAATAATTCCTTTTGTGTAAAGGATCAATAATGGTCTCTGTTCATTCTATTTCTTGTTTGTATTTTCTATTGATGTGTACCAAATCTAGACATTTGGTTTTAAGTGTTGTTTTAAAAAATTTACAGAAAAAAATAAAGAAGAAAACAGGGTAATTTTAACCACCCTTGACCTACTTTTAAAAAATTCTATTAATACACATACACAAACAAAAGGAAAAAATATTGATGTATGTCTGCATGCCAAAGTATTTACTAACATGCTTAATTTTTTATCTGGGGTAACCAATGCAATCATAAAAAATGATCAATTGAAATTATTTTAAGATCAGGAATTTTTAATAATGATAATTATTTATCTGTAGCCATGACTGCTTCTAATTATTATGGGAAGATGATCATCTCACTTTGAACAAGCGGCTGAGTGGAATGAAAGAGGAGCATAGTCCCTCCATGCTGATTTTTTTTTCTTTCCGCACACTTGATCTCTAATTGCTTCTGTACCAAACTGGGAATAGAAATGCCCAAGTCCATCAGAATGTCTAGTTTCGTCACAAGAAGTATGTATCAAAAAGCCATGTTCCTGAAAAGATTTGTAACTGAAAATGCAAATAGAAAACAATACATTGCTACATACGTAGCCTGAAGGATTTAATGACATAAAAATCAGAGTCAGAAATGTCTACCTGGGTTTAACTTACCTATTGCCAATAATAGCTAAAATACATAAAGAAGTGGCTCTTATAAAAGTAAACTTGATTCTGTTGTGATTGAAAATGCTAAACTTCATCTATTCTTTCATTTATTCAACAAATATTATTCAGTGCATAGTATATGTCAGGCACCATATTAAGACCATGGATAAAGGATAAAGAAGATGGCCATTATTCCTGACTTCTCAGAACTTAAAACTAAGAGACAAATATAATATAGAGTGATGTTCTATACAGAGAGACAGAGAAAGAGCTAAAAGCATAGATTTCAAATTGTAGCTACCTTGGAAATAGTGAGTAGTCTGGGTTCTCCAGTGAAAACAAACCAGTAAGATTGAGAGAGAAAAAATTTATTAAAAGGAATTGGCTCACATGATTATAGAGGCTAAGAAATCCATCCCAAGATCTGCAATTGGCAAGCTAGAGACCCAGGAAGGCCAATAGTGTAGTTCCAGTTCAAATCCAAAAGTCAGAGAACCAAAAGAGCTGATGGGTATAAGTTCTGGTTTAAGGGGAAGGAAAAACTAGTGTTTCAGCTCCAAAAGTGAAGCTAAAGAAGTTTCCTCCTAATCAAACCTTATGTTCTATTCAGGTCTTCAGTTGATTGGATGAGGCCCATACACATTCAGGGGGGCAATCTCCTTACTCAGTTTATGATTTAAATGTCAATCTCATTAAGAAATACTCTTACAGACACACCAAAATAATGGTTGATAAAGTGTCTGGACACTTCATAGCCCTATCATGTTGACACAAAATTAACCATCACAGTCAGTTAGGTTAAGAAGGATTCCTGGAGGAGAAGACACCTAGGCTGAACACTGAAGGACAGTATTTCATAAATAAAATATTAATTTACTTTCTCATAAGTAACTTTTATCAATAACGTATATGATATTTATGTGTCTTCAGAAATGCATTTTTTCTTCCATTTTAACAGAAATGATTTGGATTTTTACTATATCTATTACTCCATTTTCAAACAGCTATAAAGAAATACCTGAGACTAGGTAATTTGTAAAGGAAAGAGGTTTAATTGACTCACAGTTCTGCATGGCTGAGGCAGCCTCAGGAAGCTTACAATTATGGTCGGAGGAGAAGAGGCACGTCTTACATGGTGGCAGGCAAGGGAGAGCCTGTGGGAATGCAGGAAAAACTGCCATTCATAAAACCATCAGATCTCGTGAGAATTCACTCACTATCACAGGAACAGCATGGAGAAAACAGCCCCCATAATCCAATCATGTCTATCCTTCAACAAATGGGGATTAAAATTCAAGATAAGATTTGGGTGGAGACACACAGCAAAACCATATCACTATATTAGGTTACAATCCTAGAGAATTTAATATTATACTTGAGCTTATAAAATAAAGGTCTCACATGGCATATTGATACTATGTCAATAAAATATATAATGATTATATTTCCATAGAACTACACAGTTTATAAAATGTTTTCATCCACATTATCTTATTTTAAGCTGTAGGTTTTCAGTGAGATATTTCCATTACTGGGAAACATTTACATTAAAAACTCATTTGTTAGAAATAAATGTTTCAACTGGTCTCAGAACTAATGGGAATACAAAGCTCTTGATGACTGCATTTGTGGATGGTGTTTGGATGTTCTTTCTAATAGTTTAGAGGATAGAGAAATCATAATTGGGATACTCCTTAGGAAGTCTGTTTTATTTAAGCAATTATAGCTAGAAAGACAAAAACTCTGAGGCATTTTTCTTAAATATCATCTAGAAAACATTAAAGTGTTTATTGATTTCAATATTTGATATAGAGAAGTAAATCCATGTGTTCAAAATTCCCCAGTTGCTGTAAAATACAACATTAAATTTTCTTTCTTTTCTTTTTTTTTAAAGTCCTTTAACACAGATTTCTTGGTGCTAAAAAGTGCACTGCTTCTTGTGGAAACACAATAAATTCTACTCTAATTGAAAAGAAGACAGGGTAGCTATTCTCTTTGCTGACCTATATGCCATTGCTTTCCTCATTTTTCCCTTTATTACCTTTTGTTAGAAGTAATCTGTGCAGATGTTTTAAACATTTATTGAGATTGTTTTATAACCTAGAACATGATATGTTCTGCTAAAATTACCATTGCATTTGGAAAGAGTGTGTATTCTACAGTTGTTTGATATGGTAATCTATTAAATATTAATTAAATTATGGTGATTGATTGATGGTGTTGTTTAAACCTTCTATATATATAAAAATCTTTTGTATAGCTCTATCAATTGCTGTGAGAGAGGTTTTAAATAGGTGATTATGCAATTCTCTATTCCTCCTTTTAATTATGTACATGTTTGCTTTGTATAATTTGAAGCTCTGTTTATAATTGTATATCTTCTTAATGAATTAACCATAAAATTATCTTTTTGAAGTATTTCTTTTTATACTTGATGATATTTTTGTTTTGAAATCTATTTTATCTGACATTAATATAGCTACTATATAGCCTTCTTATTCTTGAGGGTTGCATGGTATATCTTTTCTATCCATTTACCTTCAGCTTAACTGCATTTTCATAGTTGTTTGTCTCTTAGAGGCAGAGTATAGTTGAGTCTTTTTTGTATTTATTCAGAAACCTTTCCTATTTATATTTAATTGGAATGTTTGGGTCATTCATGATTAACGTAATTATTGAAATGGTTAGTGTGGTAGGCAGAAAGAGGGCCCCAAAGATGTCCACTCCCTAATCCTCAGAACCTATGAATATGTCATCTTGCATGGTAAAAGAGATTTTGAAGAGGTGATTATGATTGAGGACCTTGAAATTAAAAGATTATCCTGGATTATCTGAGTCGGTCCATTCTAACTTTATAAATCCTTTAAAACAGAGAACTTTTCTTAGCTGTGGTCAGAAAGAGGTATAACCACTACATGGAAGACGTTTCAGGAAGATGTGGGATAAGATAAAGTTAACTGGCTACTTGCTGGCTTTAAAGATAGAGGAAGGCAGCCAAAAGCTGGTGACAGCTAGAATCTGGAAGTCATTCTCAGTTTAAGACCAGAAAGAAAACAAGGATTTCAATCTTACAAACTGAAGGAACTGATTTCTACCACCAACTTAAATAAATGGAAAAGAGATTATTTCCTGAATCCTTCAAAAAGCAGTGAGGACTGTTGACACCTTGGTTTTGGTTTATTGAGACCCATACCACACTTGTGACCCACAGAAATATAATAATTTGTGATGCTTAAGCCACAACATTTACAGTAATTTGCTAGGCCTACAATAGAAAATTAACATAGATTTTGGTACCTGAAAGTAGAATGTTGTTGTAATGAGTAGAAAAATGTGAAAGTAGAATTGACTTTGGAATGGGGCACTGAGTGGAAACTGGAAGAATTTTGAGAAGGCAGAGAGAAAAAGCCGAGATTGTCTTGAAAAGACTGTAACTAGAAATACAAATATGAAAGGTGCTGCCAGTGAAGACTTAGTAGAAAATGAGCAACAAGCTATTTGAAACTGAGGGAAAGGGGATTTTTATCATATTGTGATAGAAAATTTAGCATAATTTTGTTATACATTTATGTGTAAAACAGAATCTGTAAAAAAAAAAAGTGAAACTGAAATTTAGTTCAAGAGATTTTCGAGTGAAATATTGAACGTATGGCCTCGTTGCTTCTTGCTGCTTAAAGTATGAAAAGAGACACAATTGAAGGAAAAGCTGTTAAACAAAATGAGGCTATGAATTGAGGACTTTGAAAGTTCTCAGTTATCTACGTTGCAAAAAAAAACAAAAGCACCAATATTAAGAGATTCATTGTTAGGAAAGAATGCTCTAGTGAGTAAGCAGAGGTATGGCTGCATAATCTTCTGCTAATATTTCAGAAAGATTAAAAGTATTCAGTCATACAAAAGGTTCTCTGAAGAGGTTAAGGGTGTTGCTCACAAACTTTCTTAAACAAGAGAACATCTTAGAAATTGAAGGGTTTTGCCTCCTCTCCCATCCTCTCAGCAAAAATCAAACATATCGATGAGAGTATGCAGGAAAATCTGTAGATAAACCTTTTTTCTAGTGAGTTGAATCCCTGTGACATACACAGGAGACCCACAAAATTTATTGAAAGTTTTATACCAACAGAAACACTGCCAGATTGAACTGAAAGAGGGAGAGAAAATACAAAATGAAAGAAGACTGCCTGGCCTTCTTTCTATAGTCGTGAAACAGACTGATAAAACTATGCAGCTACAAACATGTTCTACTTGTGAAAAAGAAGAATGACTGAGGACACAGCCTCAAATCCAGAGGGTGAAGCCTAGTGCCACAGAGGACTATTCCTAGACATTGAAACCAAATGGAGTGTGCCCAGCTAGTAAAAATTACTAAGTTTCTTGAAACCTGTGAATTCTGATTTCAGTTTTTATTTTCCTGATAATTAATGAGGTTGACCATCTTTTTATAGGTATATTTGAGACTTTTGGAAAGGGCCTGCTTACAAGACATAATTTTATTGGGTTTTCTGTCTTTTTATTATTTGTAGAAGTTATTTATCTATTTTGCCTATGAATCCATTGCAAACTACATGTATTTTATATTGCTAAAAGATTTTCCCACTCTGACTGCCTTTTATTTTTTGATAAATGTGAGTTACTAATATTATTGTAATCCAATTTATGAGTCTTTATAGTAATACTTTTGTACTCTTTTAAAGAAATCTTTTACTATCCTAAGTTCATGAAGATATTTCTCTATATTCTATAAGCTTTTTTTTGCCTTTCATACTTAATCTTTTTATATAGTGAAACAGTAGGAGTCAAGATTCATTTTTATGTAACTATCTACTTGATCTAGCACTACTTTTTGAAAAGATCATGTTTTCCCCCACTGTCACTTTGTGATAATTATGTAACAACAAATATAAGCCTCTTTATATCATCTCTGACCTGTTTTATCTCTATTCTGGTTTGTCTCACCTCCTGCAAATAACATAACGTTTTAATTGTGGTTGCTTTATAATAAATCCTGATATTCAAGTTTTTATTCAAAATTGTAATTGATAATTTTGGAATCAACTTAATAATTTCTAAAAATTGTTGGGATTTTTATTGTGATGGTATTGAATCCATAAATCAACCTGGAGAAAACGGACATCTTTCCAATAGCTTCTTCAGTCTGTAAACAAACTATATCCCTTCACTTCTTTATTTATTTAATCTCTGTCAATAGTTTAGTTATTTTCAGTATAAGAGCCTTATAAATCTCGGTCGGGCACGGTGGCTCACGTCTGTAATCCCAGCACTTTGGGAGGCCGAGGAGGGTGGATGACGAGGTTAGGAAATCGAGACCATCCAGGCTGACACGGTAAAACCCCGTCTCTACTAAAAATGCAAAAAATTAGCCGGGCATGGTGGCGGGTGCCTGTAGTCCCAGCTACTCGGGAGGCTGCGGCAGGAGAATGGTGTGAACTCGGGAGGCGGAGATTGCAGTGAGCCAAGAGTACGCCACTGCACTCCAACCTGGGCGACAGAGCGAGACTCCATCTCAAAAAAAAAGTCATAAATCTCTTACTATATTTTTCTCAGGGATTTAATGTTATTTTACTCTATTATAAATAGTATCATAGGCTGGGAGTGGTGGCTTATGCCTGTAATCCCAGCACTTTGGGAGGCCGAGGCGGGCAGATCACTTGAGGTCAGGAGTTTGACACCAGCCTGGCCAACGTGGTGAAACCCAGTCTCTAGTAAAAATACAAAAATTAGCCGGGCATGATGGCGCACACCTGATTCAGGAGAATAGCTTGAACCTGGAAGGTGGGGGTTGCAGTGAGCCAAGATCGCACCACTTCACTCCCTTCTGGGTGACAGAGTGCAACTTTGTCTCAAAAAAGTAAATGAATAAATAAATAGTATCATTTAAAAATTTTGTTTTCTAATTGTTTATTGAGAGTATATAGAAATAAAATGGCTCCATGCTGAAACCCATTTCTCCACCTCTTTCACCCAACAAACTCTAAAGTCATTGATTTATTCATTTACATGCTCATTTTAAAGCCTCTCATTTATTAATTTACATGGCATAATCTCTCCTAATATATTGCCCTAGTATTTTACCCTAACTAGTCTTCTAACTATTATCTTAGCCTCTGGCTTAATATACCTCTAATCCATCTTTGTAAAAGCCCAAACTTATCATGTCACTCCCTTGATTTAGAAACTTCCATAATCTACAGATAAAACTCTTTAACGTGCAAGGTCATTGTTGATTTAACCTCCTAACCTATCTTCCACTTAGCTATGTAAATCTGTCATCAGCCAACCATTAGTAAACTACTTCCAGTTATTAAAATGAACAATATTTTTTAAATGTATGTGCTTTACCATGTGCTCATTCCTCTATTGTAATGTCATTTTTTTTCTGTTTTTTATCTAATTGTTTTCTATTTATCTCTTTATCCATCATGAACAACACAGTGTTTGGCATAGTAAGCACTCATTGATAGCTTATTAAAGAATGCTTATGAGATAGTTAAGAGATATGTAGCTATTGATTGCAGCAATACCTATTTCAAGGAACTAATAGCACTCAGCCTTTAAGAGTTAATTCAAATGGCTGTGCTTCTGAACAGCCACCCCTGACCCCAAGCAGATATAGCCACTGTCTCCCCAACATGTTCTTTGTATAGCTAGAACAGTGTATATATCTATTTGTTAACATATGTCAGGTAATAGTACCTTGATTTACATATATAGGATATCTTAAAAATCATGGGATTGAACCAAAAAATCCTCTGATTAAAAGCTTATGGTTATGTTGTAGCTTCAAATGTCTGCAATAAATTAACAAAGCTTCTTTTATTTTTCCATTGTGACTTCCTCCATGTGGCTTCTATCCTCAAGGCCACCTGTCGGCCCAAGAAGCCAGCTGGAGCTCCAGTTGTTCAGTCTGTTTTCCAGGTTGCAGGAAGAGAGATGGTAAGTGTAGTAAATGGACATATCTCCCAGCTTTCTTTATGAAGTATTCCATATGGTCCTATAATATATTTCTACATGCATGTCATTGGCCAAAAAATAATTACATGACCACACATAGCTACAAGTAAGGATGGAGAATACAGTCTTTTGTTTAGGTAATGTATTGCTCAAACAAGTGTTCACTTAGCGTTGAATAAACCCAAGATGAGTATTGGATTGGCACTTAGCAGTCTATGCTATATCCCTTACTGTTAGAAGCATACAAGAGATTGTTTTCTATTTAACTCTTTATCCCTTGTGAACAACACAGTATCTGGCATAGTAGGCATTCATTAACAGTTTATTGAAGAATATATTTGAGACAGTTAAGTGATATGTAGATATAGAGTGCAGCAATGCCTATTTCAAGGAACTAGCAACACCTAGTACTTGAAAAGAAATATTTTAGGCTGGGCGCTGTGGCTCACACTTTTAATCCCAGCACTTTGGGAGGCTGAGGCGGGCAGATCATGAGGTCAGGAGTTCAAGACCAGCCTGGCCAACATGGTGAAACCCCATCTCTACTAAAAATACAAAAATTAGCCGGGTGTGGTGGCGGGCACCTGTAATCCCAGCTACTCGGGAGGCTGAGGCAGGAGAATTTCTTGAACCCGGGAGGCAGAGGTTGCAGTGAGCAGAGATAGCACCACTGCACTCCCACTTGGGTGACAAAGCGAGACTCTGTCTCAAAAAAATAAAACAAATAAATAAATAAATATTTTAGATTTGCTGAAGACTGAATGTTTTTGTCCCACCTCCTAACCCCCATTCATATGTTGAAACCCAGTTCCTAATGTAATAGTATTTGGAGGTGAAACTTTTGAGAGGTAATTAGGTCATGAGTACTCTGCCCTCATGAAACGGATGAGTACCCTTATGAAAGATACCCAGAAAATGTGATTGCCCCTTCTACCACGTGAGGACACAGTGAGAATGGGCTGTTCGTGAGCCAAGAAATAGTTCCTTCCTCAGCAGACACCAAATCTGCCAGCACCTTATTTATCTCCAGCACTTTAGTCCTGGAGGCTGAGCGCTCCTCAGCTTCCAGTACTGTGTGAGAATAAGTTTCTATTGTTTCTTAGCCACCAATCTATGGTAGTTTTTTATAGCAGTCAAAACAGACTAAGTCAGGATCTTAACCTTAGTAGCCCAGTTTTGCTTTATTGTTGAAGATTTATAAAATTATAGCCCTGAAATGTTAAGTACTCTTAGCAAATACTGATTTTGTTGATTTGTAATATATTTAGGCACACTCATCCCCTGGAAGGATTAGGAAAAAAATGGCAAGAAATGAAAAAAAAATGAGGCACTTATGCTACGAAAGTATATATAGACAGTAACTCATTTCAACAGAATTTAGAAACTTTCTCATTTGGTAAGAACTTGTAATCACTATTTGAAATATTTCAATGATAAAATACTATGTAATCTGATAAAATAATGAGATATAAATGGAGAAAGGGACAGTTCACAAGACAATTATTCTTGTCTGGGGTTTCTTTCTGGCATGAGGGTAAGAGGGAGAGTATTAAGGTCCCAAGAATTACAGTAGTCTCCTCTTAACCACAGGGGACATGTTTCAAGAACCCCCATGGATGCCTGAAATCATAGATAGTACTGATCCCTCTATATTCTGTGTTTTTTCCTATACATATACACCTATTATAAGGCTTAACTTATAAATTAGGCATGGTAAGAGATTAACATCAATAGCTAATAATAAAATGGAACAATTATAAAAATATACTGTGATAAAAGTTATGAGAATGTGGGGTCTCTCTCTCTCTTTCTCTTAACCTATCTTATTGTACTATACTCATCTGTTTTGGGGACTGTAGTTGACTGAATCCACTTCAGGTAACTGAATCTACAGAATAGGAAACCGTGGATAAAAGGGGACTCCTGTGTAACACCAAGAAACTATTACTAAACTGCAGAGTTCTGAAGCTTGAAGTGGCTGATTTTTATACAACTAATGCTTGATCGTTATTCAGTTTTCCAAGGGCAATTATTTATTTTGAAACCTTTCAATTAAGCTAGATTATGTTTTCTAAGTTTCCTATTAATTATCATTGGATTGAAAAGAGTTGGTTTATCCTTTCAGGTTAAAAGGAAAGGGGGCATAAAGAAATATAGTTAACTGGCAATGCTTATTATTTGAATTAACCATTGGAAAGCATTCAGACAATTTTACATACAGGAAAGCAACTTATATTGAATTTTTTTCTGCAAACATGAATACACTCTGCTCTTATATTCAGCACTTATTAATCACCTATTATACGTCAGACCCTGTGCCAGGTGAGTGAGTCATCCTCTTGCTTATAAAGATCTAAGAGTCTATTAAAAGAGATAGATTTTAATCAAATAACCATGGTAGTGAATGTATAATTATGAACAGAAAATTAAATTGAATGAAACGAACATGATGCTAGGACAGCATGTAAATAGGATCTTGTCTGAAAAGTAAGATGGGGGAGGTCCAAATAAGACTTTCCTAAGGACATGATTTTAATGCTATTGTTGAGAAATACAAAGAATTAGCTATCGCTTGGAGACTTTGATTAGTCAGTTGTATCTTGTTAACTTATAAAGTAGAAAGTTTAATAAGCAGGATCCCTTTAAAAGCTGGATTATCAAATCATGTAAATCATTGCAGATACATTAATTTTTCAGCAACATTTGCTATAGAAATGTCTACAAAGTGTCTTTATTTTATTCTGAGGGTTAATATTATAAAGCATTATTACAATCACTTTTTCCAGTTATATTAGGATTTTTTTCTCATCATTCAGTTGTAGTTTAGTTCTTGTTGTATGCCAGAAATAGCAAAAATGCTATCTTCAGAGCTGGTTTTGGAATAGGCGACTGACTTTAGGCTGTGTTTCTTAGGTTACAAAAGCATCACTCCTGTGGTTTAGAATGATGCTGTTCAATATGTTAGCCACTAACAACATGTAGCTATTTACATTTGAATTAAACTTTTTTAAAAAGTTAAAAGTTGTATTCCTTAGTCTCACTAACCACATTTCACACTTGGCCTGTGGCTTCTGTATTGAATGATGCAGAATAAATCTATCACCAACAAAATTTCTATTAGACAGCACTGGTCTAGAGTTCATAAAGCAGACTGGCATCTGCGATTCACAAGAAAATGAAATTTTCAATCATGAAATGGCTATTATCAAAATCTGTGCTGGTTTGACAGCTGGGAGCAGAGGAATGCCAGTGACCAGCCTTACATTGATCCATTTCATGTGAGACTCTTACTCCATTTTTACTAAGAAAAACAACAAATAATAAAATGTAATCCCTGGTGAAAAATCAAAGATCATCTGCTAGTAAAGGAAGCAGAAAAAATATAGTCTTGTGGCTCATTACACATTGATTGAGTATCATCTTTCTCAAATACATGATTAAGAATGAAGAATCCACTGAGACAGAATGTAATATCTTCTTTATCTTGCCTTGGAAGTTTCTTATTGATTTCCCTTTGGCCTCCACGGAAGATATTCACAGGTACTAACAATTTGTCTTTGCCTCCAGCTTCTAGAAAATAAAGCTTGAGGCAGGGATTAAAGTACTTACACCTTATTTAGTATGTGAAAGTCCAGGACAGTGAAGATGAAAAGAGACAAGGTAAAACAAGGTGCAAAGTAATATAAAAGCAGTAGTAAGAAGTGCACTTTGTAGAGAGGTAAGGTAGATCTCTCAGCAAGTGTTTTCACTTAGAATGTGAGGTTTCTCTGGAAACTTTGCAAGGAACAGTCCATGTAAGGGAGAAATAAACAGACATTTGTCTTCTCTGTTCTCTCCCATCTCCCTTTTCCCACTAGTTAAGGTTCACATCTTGGGGAGCTGACTCCTCACTTTCAAGTGTTATCAAAGGTGTAGCACTCCATCTAAGTCTGCAAGTGAGGGCAGTAGTGTATAGACAATGTATGGAATCTATAGAATATGCAGATCTTAAGATTCACCTTGGACACCAGCCAGATTCAGGAGCTTGGCAAGGGCACTAGCAAAGGGGCAGGAGTGTAATCCAGGATTAATGTTGAAGTAAGAAAGTTTAAGATTGTGATTTGGCTGGTTGTATCTTCAAGGATTGAGCATAACTACAATAAGAGGAATGATTTTTTTGATGATGTAATCTTTAAAAGGGCTGGGAATTTTTAGGAAGAATACAGGGAGAATGTTCTGGAAATGTCATGATAAAGAAAAAATTTTAAATGGAGAGAAAACACAACTACCACTTGAAAGAATCACAGAGAAAGCAGCGTCCTCAGGGAGGAGACTTTTTTGTGTTACGATAAGCAGGGGAATGAAAACTTAGCAAGAGGTTAAACTTAAAGGGTACGTCGATGACTGACTCAAGTTTCAGAAAACAGAATAGGGTTCGATGGATTGGGAAGTGTGTAAGCCTGGGTTAGAGTGGGAGAGGTACTCAGCTTCATGAGTGAGTGTTTAGATAACACTTAGGGAGGACTTGGGGGTTGGGGGTGCCTTGTGGTGACTGACAAAAAGTGGCATTTGAGTCTTGAAAGGATTGATAGTCTCTGTGGCATATTGTGTGGTGGGGCAGTAAGTGTTGGGAGAAGTAGAATGGGAGGTCTTTCAGTACCATGCACAGCCTTCTGTGTCCATTCCTCAGCCAGGCCGAAAGCCTGGCATTTGCGAGCACTGGCACCAGGAGCACATGGGGCTCAGAAAGCATTGTCTCCCCAACACATAGTTCTTCTAATAGCATAATTGAGACATCAGAGAAGTCTGTCTGCAGGCTCTGAGAGGGGCGATAGTGGGAGGGATGCAGGTGCACTATATGCTAATGTATATTTTCAACAATATTAACATTTTTGTGTATCACAGTTGAGAAATATTTACCACTGAGTTAATTTATGCTGCTATCTTACCGAAAGTAGCAATTCTTTCAGCAAAAACAAAGAACCATCTAAAAGTCCTGCTGTAACCACTTTCAGATTGATCATCCAAATTGTCAGGCAAGGACTCTGGTAATTTAATCACTCTTGGATGAATGAGAATACAGAAGTTATCAGCTTCTTTTCTGGGGGGTGGGAGGACAGTGGAGGGACTAACATAGAAATCCCCAAATGGTATTATACAAGGAACAGAGATTTTAAATAGAAAGAAATGTATATTTATTTTTCTGGAATGAATTCTCATGCATTCATTATAATATCTCTAAACATCATATCAGAACTTGGCATACCAAAATATTTAAGTCAAATATAGTTACCAGAAAATATTTTTTCTCATATTTTCCACTTCTTTGACTTTTTATAAAAATGTTTACAGAGAAAAGGACATTCTTTAGAGAAAGCCATTACAGAATGCATAGGGTATTATTATTACATGCATCTTCAATGTCTCCATTTGTGCTAATCAAAATGCATGGGAACATGAGCTACTATAGTCCTCATAAAATTGCTAAGAGCTTACAACATGTATAGATATTAATACTCTTTGTAGAAATGGAAGAAAATTATGTTTAGCACAAGTGACTTTATATCCCTTCCTAGGTACATTAAGCCTCTTTTTAAAACTAAATAAAAGTTATGTTTAGCTCAAGTACCTTTATATCCCTTCCTGAATATGTGACTATTTTCTTCATTTTATCTGCAACATTCAGGTTCTGTTTAGGCAGCTGAAACACCTATCGTCCAAGAATTAAAGAAAACATAACATCAAATTGCCATCATGCTATCAAACCCTTTTGCTAATATAAAATTTCCGAACAAAGACCTGAAAGGATATATTCTTATGTGGCAAACAGATTTAAAGTTTGCTTTAACAATCTAGAAAACAGAGAACAAATGTAGAGAAATCATAGGATGCATGTTAACTGCAAGATACTGGCTCCCACAAAGAGAGGCCAGAATTACAAGCAGGTGAGGTGCAGTAGAGGTTGGGACAAAGATCTAGGAATGTTTATAGAAAATTCCTCTCCCTTGAAACCAGAAATATTAAAAAAACATTTTCTTCTAATAATTTAATGTATTACTCAAGCAAGTAACATGATACAACTAAAGAGTGTGCTGACTAGTTGAAAACACATCATCATACAAATATGCTAGTGGGTTTGGCTTATTATTTCATTTGTTGAGAAAATGTTAAAAGTCAGAGAAAAGGTAAGTAAATACTGCACACATACCTGCATCCACTACCCAAGATGATAAATATTAACTTTATCTAATATTGGCTTCTGACATTTTTTCATAAAATAAATGAAATTATCATGAATCAACTTCATCCCTTTTTCTCCCCACGATCATTCTACTTCTTGACTATCCAGAGGCAACTACCATCACAACTTCGTATATTTAATCAGTTAATGCTCTTACACTTCATTTCATATATATGTAGTCACTATCAAAACATTACATATTTCATGTTTCCATAAATGATATCATGTGGAATCATTTACAAATGCTTTTTTAATTCAACATTATATTTTTGAGATCCATTGATGTTGATGTCAGTTGTAAAAATATACCACATTTTATTTATCCATTTCTCTTTTGATGTCATTTGTTTCTGATATTTCATTACTACAAATTATTCTACAATATACAACTTTATTTATATCCTTATGAAATGTGCAGGACATTTTCTAGGATGTACGCTTATGAGTAGAACTGCTGAGTCACAGGTAGGAGCATCTTCAGTTTCGTGCTAGACTGTCAGGATTATAAATTGGTCCTTAGTCTGTACTCTTTTCCCAGTATAAAAGAGTTTTTATTTATTCACATTGTAAACTACATTTGGAAAGGTCAAACTTTAAATTTTTTTTCTACTCTTGTTGGTGTAAAATAATACAGCATTTTAAACTTTTTATTTTCTTGGTTATGAGATGAGGCATAATTTTAATTTTTTTAAACATTCAAGCTTGCTCTTCTCTGAATTGCTTTCCATGTAGATGGTACACTTGTTTACTAAGTTGGTTATTCATTTTTTCTTGTTCACTTTAATAAATTCTTTTTACCATTATAGCTACCTATTTTTAGTTACATAAGTTAAAAAAATTATATCTTTAGGTTTTATGTGTCTAATTGATCTGTTTCCTTCATGACTTTTTTATGTTGTCTAAGAAATTATTTGCTTCCACATTGTAAGGAAAATAGTCAGTTACATATTCCTCTAAAAATTTTAAACTTTTACTTTTCAGTCTGTGGTCTTGGATCCAACAGGATTATTTTGGAGGGTACAGTTCATGATAGAGAATCTCATTGCATTCTTACCATATGTAGAGCCAGTTGACCCAGCACCAATTACTGCAGTGCTCACCTTTTCATGATTAATTTGTACTGTTGCCTCTATCACACATTGTGTTTCCCTGTGGCTGTAGGTCTCTTTTTAGATTCTTTTTATTGACTCCTGTCCCAATTAAATATTGTTCAATACTGTGGCTTTAAATGTGGTAGGTAATGAGCCAAGCCTTTCTTCTCTGTTTTTCTGCTTTTCAAATTCAACTTAGAATATAAAGAAATACCTGAGGCTGGGTAAGTTATAAATATTATAAAAGAGGTTTCTTTGGCTCTTGGTTCAGCAGGATGTACAAGGAACATGCCACCAACATCAGCTTCAGGTGAAGGCCTCAGAGAGCTTCCAGTCGTGGTGGAAGGGGAATGGGAACTAGCATGTCACATGGCAGAGGAAGGAAAAGAGAGAGAAGGAGCTGCCAGGCTCTTTGAACAATCAGACCTCAGGGTAACTAATAGAGCGAGAGCTGATTCATTACCTCCAGGAAGGCACCAAGTCTTTATGAGGGATCCACCCCCTTGCCCCAATACCTCCCACCACACCTCACCTCCATCATAGGGGATCAAATTTCAACATGAGACTTGGAGGAGACAAATATCCAAACTGTATCAGTTGGTAAATAATTTTCTTTTCTCACAATGTCTTTACCTGGTTTTTCTATTATGGTTATATTGGTCTTGAAAAATAATTTGAATAGTTTTTATTTTTTTAATTTTTAGAACAGTTTTTATTGGGTAATGATTATGTATATATAGACTATTTGATCTTCTAGCCTTGATCTCTTTTCTTTTTCTCTTCTTTTTTCAAGAAGGGGGAATAGGAATGAATTCATTTTCTAATGGTTATTATTCTCTTCAAGTTTTCTATGTTTTATTCATTTTTATAATGTAAATATTTTCAAAAAGTTCTCTTGGGCATTAATTTTATTATATTATTCCTTATAAGTTTTAAATTGCCACCATAAGTCTAAAAATACCCTACTTTTTCATTTTCTAGTATTGGTTATTTCAGCTTCATCTTTTCTTCAATTGCCTTGATTAAAATGTTCTTTTATTTTTCTTTTCTAAAAATACAGATTTTGACTTTCATATCTTCTCTGTGATTTCAATGTGTGCTGCCTTATTTTTTTCTTACCTTTGTAATTTGTTTCTCCTTCTTTCTTGGCTACATTGCATGCTTTGTATGTATTTTGAATATATATTCTATTTATCAGATATAATTGAGTTATTTATTGGATATATTTTATTTTTCACCTTCACCTAGCTTTTCAACATTACCACATAGCTTCTTTATGTTAATTTTTTTCTTTTTTTCTAATTTATAAATGTACACCAATAAGTGATCTAATTACCATTCTAAGCATATTCTACACTTTTTGATAGGTAATTTTTTTGCTACTATTCACTTCTAAACATTTTGTTATTTCCATTGTGATTTCCTCTTCAAACTAAAGGTTATTTACACAATGTTTGTGTGCATACATGTATATTTTAATACAAAAAGGTATTTTTGTTATTGACACCATTGCTCTGTGGTCAAATAATACAAGTATGTTTTTTTGGAATTGATATTTCCCTGGTGGCTTCTACTGATTGATTTTTAAAATAGGTTGCACACGTGTTGGAAAGATGGTACAATATTTATTTCTTTAATGTAGAGTTTTATAGGTAGGTAGAGACAGAAAAACAGAAAAATAATGCTGTTGACTACATTGCTTATATTTTCTATAGCCCTGATAATATTTTTCTAAATCAGCTTTATGGAAAATGTTTTAAAGACCTCACTATAATTGTAAATTTGTTCATTTCTTTTTTATAATCCTGTTAATGTTGACTTTATGCATTTAATTTTGTATCCTTAGGGTATCACAATTTATAATATTTATATGTATATTAGTGAATACTCATTATTATAGAGTGTCTTATTGTTGTTAAGGCTTTTTAAATTCTTTTTAATAATACCACTATTTGGTATTGTTTTTAAAAATAAGTATTCCTTATTATTCTTTATTTTTTATGTATTTTATTTCAAATGTTCTGTATTATTTGGCTTTATTTGTGTCTCTTAAGAGCAGCATTTAAAATGAATATTTTAAAATACATTCCTATATATTCTAACAAATGAGCGGGCCGGGCGCTGTGGCTCACGCTTGTAATCCCAGCACTTTGGGAGGCCGAGGCGGGTGGATCATGAGGTCAGGAGATCGAGACCATCCTGGCTAACACGGTGAAACCCTGTGTCTACTAAAAAATACAAAAAATTAGCCGGGCGTGGTGGCGGGTGCCTCTAGTCCCAGCTACTCGGGAGGCTGAGGCAGGAGAATGGCGTGAACCCGGGAGGCGGAGGTTGCAGTGAGCCGAGATGGCGCCACTGCACTCCAGCCTGGGCGACAGAGCGAGACTCCGTCTCAAAAAAAAAAAAAAAAAAAAAACAAATGAGTGGATTACTGATTTTGACTTATGTCTAGCATGTTATGTTTCCCTTTTTTCCTTATTTTTCCCTGGGTCCTTTTTTTTTTTTTCTTATCTCTTGCTGTGATGATGCAATTTCCTGGTTTTTTTCCTGTTATTCTTTTTGTATGTTTTGCTTATATGGATGTATCGACTGTATTTCTGTCTTTTCAGTGGTAACATTAATATTTTAGATACAGAATTACCATGTAATAATTATGTCTAATAATGATTTATCTGAGTTTGTTTTTTCTTTATTATTATCAACATTAATTTTTGGTTTTTTATAGGTAAGAGAGAAGGCCAGAGAATTTGAATTGACCTGTGTCACTTAGCAACAAGTAAAACCCACTTTCAGCAAATGAACTTGCTGAAATTCAATATATATCCTAAACTTTAAACTTTTCTAATAAATTTAAAGCATTTAGTTTCTCTTTTCTCCTCTCAAACCATATGTTATTTACATTATTTCTATCTAGAATTTTAGTTTTAAGTATTTTCGAAAAGAAATAAATTCAACAAAAATTACTTATTTAAATAAAATGTACAAACATATTTGATCTTTTTTTCTCACAATTGCTAACTGCATTTTTTGCCTTCCATACAAGTATACTCTTCTTTTTGCTGAGTAAATGCTTCTGAATTTCCATGAGTAAAAAATTCCTTTACTTGTTTATGTATTAAAAATGTTTTCCTAATGTCCTTACTCTTGAATGATTGTTTATAGGCGTACATAATTGTAGTTTGATAATCTTTTCTTCAGCACGTTGAAGCTATTACTTCATTGTCTTCTGATCTCTACTGCTTCTAAAGAGATATCTGTTCTCATTCTAATTATTAGAAAATTTGTTTTTCTCCCAGAGAGGCTTTATGATTTTCTCTTTAGCTATTATGTTCTCCATTTTGCTGTTTGTCAAAGTATTGTTTACTTTTATTTTGCTTAGCACTTGCCGTGCAGTTTCTAAATGGAGATTCAGTCCTTCAGCCTGGAAATAGTTCTAAGTCACTTTATGTCTTTAAATATTGACATTTTCTCTTTTGATAATTCGATGGGAAAAAAATCAAGTCAGACCATTCTTCAAGACAGTCATAACTTTGACATCATATTTTCCCTTCCTTCTCTTTCTTTTTCATCCTGTAGATCAGTTCCTCAGTACTCTTTCTAATTCATTAATCTCTCCTTTAGCTCTTCTAAACTGATGTTAACCTAACTTACTCAATTTTTTGGTTTTTATTGCTTTTTAATTTTAATGATATGATTTTTTTATTTCTAAAATTTCTCTTTAGAACTTGAATATAGACACGTTTTTGAAACATAACCATTTTGGTACTATAATCATTTCTTTTCTTAATTTATACATTTTAAGATCTTAAAAATACATACTTAAATTTTTCTCAAATTGTGCAATCATAATTATGTCATCCAGTTAACATCTGCTTGATGGCTCTCTTTCATGATTTCTTTTTAGGCTTATAAGCTTTGAAATTTTAGTGGTGCTGCTACAGTGTTCCTTTCTCGGTTTGTTTGTTTGTTTTGGCTCAGTCTCTCTCACCTCTCCATGTGTGGCAGTTTTACAGTTGTCTCTACCTGCCTTGCCCTTGTATTGGCACCCAGAGCTCTCAGAATGCAGGGATATTACGGGTGTATTAGCTAGTTGGGGCCTGGCCAGGCTTTGGTGAAGCACCTATTTGTGCTTCCTCCCACCTACTAGGCAACAACTTATCAGCCTCAGCTTTGCCTCTGAACTTGGCTGGCCTGGCCTAACTCTCTGTAGTACACACTGAATCCGGCTCCATTCTGCCACCCGTTTTGATCCTCAGAAGTTGAAAGCATGAACATTTCTGCTACTTCCTTGTCCTGGAATGTGGTAGGCCTGTGACTTAAACCACATTTACTGCCATGTGTTTTTATTCTGCTTCTGGTCTTCAAAGATGTTTATCTTCCTTTTGCTTGTCACCCCGTCTTTTAAAAGCGTATGTGACATATCTTCTATCTTTGCTGTGAGTTTTTGAGGAGGAGCAGGAAAATATTCTACAGAAACTGCCAGTGCCAACTTGAACAGCAACCTCATTGCAAGTGGCTCTATAAGAGCAAAGGCCATCAGTAACAGTTACAGATCTAATTACAAGTTTACATGAAAATCTCAGCCCATCACTGTTACAGTTCTGAGTGCCACTTATTTAGCAAGGGAAAATTACCTATGTAATATGGTTTCAGAGTATTGATTAATCCCTTTAACACAGTTGTATGCTAGTGTCTGAAATTTTAGGAAGCGTTTCATACATTTGACATAATATTACAAATAGTTTTGTTTCTCCTAGTAAAATATACATCTCCTTGTGTTTGATATGACTTTAAGCTTTATGAATCATCTGTGTCCTACTGCCTTGTTGTAAAGCTATTTGTCAAATTCTTTCCTAAGATTAAGGTTTGATTAGAAAGACGAAAGAATATGAGGGAACCTTCTGCCTAGCATGTAGATTTGGATGAGAAATTACATTGCTTTTAAAAGAACACTGGTATTGGAGTTAGTAAAGAAGAGGGGTCCTGACTTACAGCTGGACAGATCATCTTGGACAGATTTTTAATTTCTGGGCAATTCTATTTTCTTAGTTTCTAAAATGGAATCTTTATGATGATTACATGAGATAATGTATGTAGTAGCACTGACTATATAGTAGGTACTCAATAAATGTTAGTTCAAAGAAAGTAAGAAACAGAAAGTTTACACCTGGAGCACCAAGGAGGGTTCCCAATCCATCTACTTACTTTTGCTTTTCTCAGTCACAAATCTCATAGAACGAGTCTCAATAAATAAGTTACATTTACTGCAAATCAATTATCTAGTCATTAATCTTAGGGAAGTACTTTAACTCTGAAGATTTTATAATCATAGCTTCAGAGGAAAACATTCAAATTGAGTAGACTTGAATAAACCACTGATTTGTCAGTGAAGTCAAAGAATCTGAATAAATTCATTTTAAGTGTACATTCATTATTTTCAATGACAATTAGTTTTGGGTGGAAACTCTCAACTAACACTTTTGCAAAGACCAAAACAAATCACTTTGCAGAATGATTAAGGAGGCAACAAAGAGCAACTGAATTTATTCCTTGTTAAAGATATTTGCTTTTATATTAGTCCTAAGAGAAATATCATGGCCTAGGAGATTGCCATTGAGCTAAATCTTACATTACACATTCAGATATATTTAAGCTCACAAAATAGCTCCAAATCCCATACTACTCTTATAAAATAATCATAATTAATTGCTATGGTATCAACATTGAGCCTAAAGGATAGTAATAATTCTATCTTATATTTTCATAGTTCCTTGCAATTTTCAAGGCACTTTTATAGGCCTTATCTGATTTGAGCCTCACAATAAGACTATAAAGCAGGAATTACTATCTCCAGTACACAGATAAGGAAAATGAAGTAAAGAGAAGTGAAATGATGTTGCTCAGTAATTCAGAGCTCCATCAACTATACTGTAGTTGGCAGGGCTGATCAAACTTTCTAGTGCCTAACACAGTATCATCTACACTGTAGGCATTTAAATTTGTACTTATGATATAAAAGTAAGATTTACTGAGCTGAGTATTATACAATATATTCAAAATTCCCAAGATTGCTTAGAGAATTTACATCATAGACTACCATTAAAATGCATGTTTTTGGGATTTAATAAAAATCAGTGATTTCTAATTCTCCATCTCTTGAGAAATTATCTTCTGCATGTTTTATTTCAAGGATATCAAGCACTTCACCACTTATTTTTTTTAACTCCAAATTGGCAATGAAAGGAATTCAGTATTGCACAAAATGTAACTTCGTACAATTCTCTAAAACCAACAATCAAGAAAGAAGACACCTCCTCATTCTTGATTAAGTATAACATGCCCTGATATGTTATACTTATGTTCAAAAAGATCTTATGAGACATCAGATACTGAGCTCAAATAACTATACCAAAGGATTAAACCCAGAGCTTGCCTTAACAAGAAGTTCGGATTTGTTTTGCTAAGACATTACACATGCATGATGACATATTTTAAATATACCAGTGCCTCTTGAGCAAAAGGGCTATCGTAATATTTACAATATTATAATATCATAAATTTTTAGCAGCACATATTACTACTATGGGTTTATATTTCGGCGGTTTGAATTCCAGCAGGTCTTGAAATTATTTTTATAACTTTAAATGAGGTGCATTTCCTCATGTCTTATAAACAGTAAAAACTATTTCTATCTATATTACCCTTTCCCTATTTTCTAAACTACATATTTTGGTCTTATTCATCTATGTTTCCATCCATGAGTCTTTCATATACTGGTGTTAATTTTATTGTGAGGATATAAGTCAATATCATTCCAAGAGAAACACGCCTGATACACTCTAACAAAGTGAGTGATACTACTTCACTTAATTACAAGCTCCTATCCCCCAACAAACAAAAATAACAAGGAAAACTCTGCTCTTCACATTTTCTTCTGGCATACTGTGTGACCTGAAGAAAATTCCATTTCCTGCAGTCTGGCATCACATTTTAAACAAAGCTGCACTATGACTTCCGCAGGCTTTTGGCAATTTTGCCTTTTTGGGCCTCTTTTTTATTAAAAAAAAAAGTTTTTAAATGATATTTTATTACTGTATTGGCACCAAGATGAATATATTGATATTGCATATTAAAACTTTTTTATCTAAAAGTTCATCTATTTCTGATTTTAAAATAAATTAAAATATTTTTGTGACACCCTAGAGGTACTCTGGGCTCTAAACACTATGCCTGCTATTTCTAATAGATAAGTCAGCCCTGATTCTAATCCTTGGGAAAACAGATTTTTAAAAAATGAATTTGACAGCGGTTTTCTTAACAATTCTATTTATATTGATGCTCTTCTTAGTGTTAAAGTCTCTGAAAAGTATTAGGGACTTCTTCAGCATTTAAGAAGTAGTCATCTCCACGCAAATGTAATCAATACAAAGGTTATTAATTTATATAATTTCACACAAAAAAGCCTAACATTGCCTTACAATGTGCTGGGACTAGAGTAAGAGCCTTATATGCATCATTTCATTTAATCCTAACTACCCTCAAGAAGTAGGTATTATTATTATTACTTGCATTATACAAATACCAAAACTAAGGTTCAGAAGAATAAAGTGGTATATTCAGTGTCCCACAGGAAGTACATGGTACAGGCAGAATCTAAATCAATGGTTGTCTGAGCCTTAACTTCAATCCCTATCCCAGTTGGTGTTTAATATATTATTTTGATGATTATGATATATTTGAGTTACTTTTACAGTGTAATGTTCAAGTTCTTTTTTAAAGCATATTTTATTGCTAAAATTGAAAAAAAGATAATCTTCCACTGTTTTATATCATAAGGAGGAAAAAAGAGCTCTAATTATATACAGCCTACCTTGAATCCACCCTCGTACCTCCACACATGAACACATACCTGTAAGTATGCCTTACACACACACACAATCTCATCTATTCTTCCCCAAACATGGGTTGTGAGATTCTTCATAGAATATTCTTTCTTTTACTTTTATTTCAGCAAATGTCTTTAGTTCAACTTCTAAACCCTATACTAGGCATAAATAATGTAAATATGAGAAAGACATATCAGGAAAAAGGAATAATTTAAACTTCTTTTATTATTTTGACAAAGGGGTCGTATCAGTTTCCCATTCTGCTGGTATCTACAACTCATTACCTCCAGGCAAGCTCTCTTCGCTAAAAATAATGAAAAGGATTGCATATTACTTGACAAAGTGAAAAGAGAGGATAATCCAAGTGGGCAGATTGGTAAGCTGCGGGATGAAAAACTGCCACCAACTAATGGCCTGAATTTGTACTGACTGTTTGGTCTAGGTATTGCGATGATCCTATCCAGCTGATTCAAAAAGATGCATGGTGAGTAGCCTTGATAACTAATGCTCAGTCAATGCAATTGTAACTAAACTTCTGTTTTTATCCAGAATTGTTTTGTTGCTCTAATTCACATGCACTGTTTTACTTAGGGGATGCTAACATGCCATAATGGGTTTTCGGCAATATCCATTAGCTTTGAGAGGGGCAAATAATGAATAGGTAGACCACTTACCATTTTGCAAAGGCTCAACATATAAATTTTTAGACATATTTAAGCAGAACAGAGGTAAGTTCAGATTATGTTCATTTTATTTCTTGAATATGTACTAAGGGGAGGATGATGCTTTAAAATACTTGCACTGATTTGTGAAGCTGTGTTTTCAAGTTCTTCCTGAGCAAACACTAATATATTAACGTCATTTGTATAGGTGGTGTTAAGATGTCCAAAAAACAGCACAATGCCAATTGTACCCATTCCCTCTTCCTTTTTATGCCATGGAGGCAGGAGTAACCTGCTTCTGGAGTGAAAGACAATTCTGAAACAAATTCCTCTAATCTAGGGAAGGGAAGTCCTATGTTTCAAATAAAAGAACTATAAAAAGGCAAATAAAGGATTCTGCACAAGAAATAACTAAGTCTATGTAGGTTCTAAAGAATTACTTTTTCTCTTAGCCATATGTAGAATTTCTTTCTGGATCAGGCTTATTTTAAGACATGAGCCTTTCCAACTAGAAGTTGGAATAAAACTCACATATAGAATGGACTAAAAAAATTAGAGCATAATGATACTGCAAAAGTTTTCCAAACTGTAAATCCCTGTGTGCTGAATTATTGAATTGCACTTTGAGGGCTGAGTTAGAAGAATGTGTGGTTTATATCTTTAGACTAGGCTCATCCACACTGAGCTACTGATCATCTTCTATTCTCCTTCACAGTTAATAATTTGGACTCAATCATCTTGATCATTCTGGTCTCTTATCCTTGGCTACAAAACTTATATTTTATAATACATAAATATTTCTAAATCAATTGCAATCTAAGAAAAACCATAATGTAAATGAAATACTATTAGACATGCAGAAGTTTTCAAAGGTAAAGATAATTATCCAAATTATCCATAATTTAAATATGAACGCATGAGTGTCAGTAAATTATTAGCTATCATGTACTCTTTGTTTTCTATGGCTGAGGTATATACTATTAGTTTATCTACAATGTTCAGAGAATTACCTAAGTTCACATAGCAAAATAGTGGCACAGCTAGGTTCATTGTTATTACAAAAAAAAAATGGGTGAGAAGAAAACTGAATTCAATAAAGTGTGAACTATCAGAAAAAAAACAAAACAACCAACAATATGTAAACAAAACCGGAAGTATTAGGTAAATTAAAAGTTAGGTAAATTAGTATCAAAAAGATAGTGCATTTCAAACAAATTCTTTTCTTTTTTTTTTTTTTTGTGAGTCTCACTCACAAAAGTGGGTCTCACTTTGTCACCCAGGCTGGAATGCAGTGGCCTGATCAGCTTACTGCAGCCTTGATCTCCTGGGCTCAAGCAATCCTCCCACCTTAGCCGCCCAAGTATAGGACTACAGGCACACACCACCATGCCTGGCTAATTTTTTTGTATTTTTTGTAGAGACAGGGTTTCGCCATGTTGCCCAGGCTGGTCTTGAACTCCTGAGCCCAAGGGATCCGCCTGCCTCAGCCTCCCAAAGTGCTAGGATTACAGGTGTAAACCACCATGCCCATCTCAAATGAATTCTTAATCCAGGGAAGCCTTCAGAGTCTTCTCTCTTGTTCCTCCTTTGACTTATGTCTCCAACTTCCTCTATGTTACTCACTATTCCACAGGCTGTTCAGAAATCCCATGACTCTCAAAAGGTACTGTAAAACTAACTGAGTAAAAACTCATCTTTCTCTCCTCTGTTTCCACATTGTACTTGTGTCTCACTTATGCCACAGTGGGATGTGCGTGTTTCTCTATCCCAAAAGATTGACAGCAACAAGGCTCAGTCATCTCTGTGGCCCCTCATTGCCAAGGTCATGGTAAGTACCCAATAAAGTTTTGTTGAGGTGAAATCAACTGACATGAACTGAGTAGAAATATATGCCAAATTGGTAACTGAGTATTCAGAAGACTATGAGAAGGAAAACTGCAACATGCGATTAAGAGGGAATTGACACTAATGATTAAAAAAAGAGAGAGAGAGAGAGAGACTTTATACTAGACCTACGAGACCAAGCCCTATTAGGGCTGAGACTGAAATATATCTGAACGTAAAAGGGTTATAGCATAAGATGTCAAGAGTTTAATTTATAATTAACATTTACCAAGCCAGACTAAAGTCCAGACTGGCCTGGTCATGGTCTATTTGTATATTTTTTTTATTTTTAATGTTCACGCACACAGTGTGGTAGTTTTACATAGCGACCAGCTACATAAGGTTACTTTGCTGAGAGAATGGTGCAACTAAGATCCCAAACTCACAGTCTTTCAAAGAGAAATCCTTAATGTAGTAACAGAAATAAAAAATGTATCATTCAGGAAATTGTAGTGAATTCATCAGGGGAGCGTTCAGTCTGGGAGCTGTTCTTTTGCATTTTTGCTTTTGGTTGCTGATATTTTTTTAACTCTGAAAATGTCTTCTGACCTTTAATACAAACTCTTGATTCACTGTAATATGAGCTTTACCCTTTCCTAGACTTCCTGAAGAGCAGAGGTTCTAAAGACCATCAACACTAAACTTAGGTCATACGTGGAAACATCCCCAAAGCTCAGAGAAGATACCTAGAGAGATTTCTGCCTTAGTCCACTTCTCTTGCTATAACAAAATACCTTGGATTGTGCAATTTATAAACAACACAAAATTATTGCTCACAGTTCTGGAGGCTGGGAAGTCCAAGATCAACGTGCCAGCAGATTCAGTGTCTCGTGAGGGCCTGTTCCTCATAAATAGTGCCCTCTGTGTACTCACATGGTGGATGTGTTGCACATGCTCCTTCAGGCCTCTTTCATAAGGGAACTAATCCCGTTCATGACATAATCACCTCCTAAAGGCCCCACCTCTTAATACAATTGCACTGGGGATTAGGTATCAACATATGAATCTGGGGGGACACAAACACTGAGACCATAGCAGCTTCCAATCTCATTCTGCATATTGGGAAAGTACGGAACAAAATGAGACAAAACATTGCTCAGATGTGTGTTCCTCACAGGAGATCCTAGCCTATCCCAAAAGATGTTAAAAGTAAAAAAGTGATTTGAACTGGTATTTATGTACCTTTCATTGCTACAGATGTTCATCCTGATAATTTAATCAAAACATCTAGCACTTTTTATGTTGAGAGAGAAAGAGCACACATAATGGGAGAATAATGTGTTTTTCCCCAATGGAGCAAGAACTAATGGCAAGAAACAGCATATTGATTCAAATGGGAACAGGGCATGTTGTTTGGGACAACTCCACTTGGGAATAATGGACAACCAAATTATCTTAATCATTTAAACAAAATGAGCTCTTGCTTTTTCCTATAAATTTATCTCCCTTTTATCTCTAGGTTGGCTCAAGGAGAACCCCAGGATTGAAAGCCCTCGACTCCACCTCATCCAACTAGATGGATGCAAGCTCCACATCTTCCTTCCTCTGTTGTCTTGCTCTTTAAAGCCAGGAATACCCCTTATCAGCTAGTTAGCTCTATCCTTCCAGAGTTCTATTTACTGTATCCAGTGTTTTAGGGTGAGAATACTTCTGTCCTGTCTCATTTTCTAGTAGTAGATGTGTGTATCTTTTTTCCCAATAAATTATTGCCTTCATAGCAGGAAGTGTCCATACAAAACATCCGAGTTACTTTATACATAAGATCTCTGGATGTGAATAAAAATAAAAAGTTCCTGTCAGTAAAAAAAAATCCAATCTAGTTTATTACTAATTCTTCCATTTTTAAAGATTTACATATTATGAGTTCTTACATATGCCCCATCATGGTTTTTTTAGTATAATATTTATCCTCCTTCAGTACTTCTTGTGCCTGAAATCCTTCCCCTACACAGCCTCGCTTTATTACTCTTACCACTAGTGCTGCTGCTACTACTATTATTACTGCTACACTGTAATTATTACATCCTTCACCACCAGCAAGGTCACCACTACTATTACTGCTGGAACTTGTCCTTCTAGTCTCAGCTTTATCTTATGTTCCAGACAAGCTAAGTCCTCCAAATCAGATCTTTCCTTCCAGTGCTCCAGCATTGTAGGAATTGCTGATATGCTGTGGTATTGGTCTCCTTCTCCTTCTATTGATCTCATCGACTAATCATATGCCATTATATCTATCACATCAAATATATTGTATCTGGACAAGAAAAATGTTGTGGACCCTGCTCTAACTATTCACAGAGCTTTCCTTTTTCCCTTTCTTGCGTGTGTCAAAATTATTGCTATGGTTGTTTAACACTAGGCAGGGAGAAACAACAAGGGGAAACACTTAGGCAGTGTTTAAGTCACTTATGCAGTGACTAAGTTCCCCTTACATAGGGCAGTACCACAGTGCTTAGCAAAGTGTGTGGCATCCAGTGGGCGATTAATATTTATTTGTTGAATTAGTAAATAAAGTGGCCATCTCCACATTTCACAGCCACTGTAAAGACAAAGAGAATCATTTGGAGCCCATCCACCTTTTCAGGACAGTTTAAACTACAGAACCAAATAAGTAAGCCCCATGCTGATTATCTGAGGGTAGGGGATTTCAGAAAACAGCAGGGTTGCTGAAGAAAGAGAAGAAGGTAATTATAACTAAGTAGAGACTAAACAGGTATCAGAAAGCATTAAAATGAACCCACTGATTAAGAACACTGAGTGTCTTGCTTAGCTTGTCATAATAGGTGGGGGAGTCGAACTGCTGATGTATGGGAAAGGAAGAGGGGAGTTTTGTTTTTCTTTTTGAGAGAGTCTCACTCGGTTGCCCAGACTGGTGTGCAGTGGCACGATCTCGGCTCACTGCAACCTCTGCCTCCTAGGTTTAAGCGATTCTCCTGCCTCAGCCTCCCAAGTAGCTGGGGATTTTTTTTTTTAACAAAGGAAACCAGAAGGGACACAAGAAACATGCATTAAGTTTTTCAGTACCTCCGTGAAGTTCTGCCTAATTATTTTAAAGACAGGTGTATTGCCATATAATTTACATATAGCAAAAACTCCCCCTTTATTGCATACAGCTCTATGATTTTTGACAAGCACAAAGAGGTGTAACTATCACACAGTCAAGATAGAGAACAGCCAGGCCCAGTGGCTTATGCCTGTAATTTCAACACTTTGGGAAGCCAAGGCACGAGGATCACTCCAGGAGTTTGAGATCAAGATAGAGAACATTTCCATTGCCTCCAAAATTTTCCTCATTCCCTTTTGTCAGTCTCCTTCCTCTATCGGCAGTGATCTGCTTTCTGTCACTACTGCTTTTATTTCTCCAGAAGGTGATGTAAACGGAATCAAACCATATCTAAACTTTTAAGCCTGGTTTACTTCACTTAGCATAATGCATTTGAGGTTCATACATGTTTTTGCATTTATCAGTAGTTCATGTCTTTATTTTATTTTGTGGAGTAGTATTTCACTGTGTCAATATACAAAATTTATCTGTTCAGCAATTGACAGACATGTGGGTTATTTTCATTTTTGGGACTACTATGATCAAAGCTACTATAAACATTTGCGCCCAGGATTTTTAGTAGACACATGTTTCCATCTGTCTTGGGTAAATACCTAGTAGTACAATTGCTGGGTCACAGGATAAGTACATGTTTCACTTTATAAGAAACTGCCATTCGATTTTCCAAAATTCTGCCTTAGTTTTATTTTCTCAAATTTCTGGCATTCTATCTTCAAGGGTAACTGTTGGCAAGGCTAAGGTTTGCAGATGGTATATGACAGTTGTAAGGAAAAAATAGGATGCACATATTTGATGGGAAGGAAAACACAGATGACACATGTTTTCTGATCAGAAGGTACTGGGTATCTTCTGATCTGTCCTTACATTCTATACTTTGAAGACACAAGTCAGGATGATATCCAGGCGGGACAATGCTGCCTGTCAGCTACCATCTGCAAATACCCATTTCCCATTTCCCCACTCCTGGCTCTATACTCAGGCAGCACTTCCTTGTCACACACACACAGCCTACCGCTATACACCATCCTGGCTCTGGGTTCCATCAAAGGAATGGAGGGTGTAATTCTAAAAATGTAATTTATGCCCCCCAAAAAAGTAATTATGCCTCTTTGACAGTATTAACAATGTTCCCAGAGGTTCAGGAAGAAAGGAAAAGAAAAAAGGAAAGAAGAAAAAATCTTGCTCATATTACATTATTATTTTTAGCTGGCACATTTCCTAAATCTAGCTGGAACTGAAAAAGCATGTGCCAAATGCAATTTTGAAAAGTGTTCATGTTTGTGGGTGTCTCGGCACTGCCTGAAACCAGGAAGTAGCAAAAGTCTTAAAATGTAAATGAGTTCCCTTTTGAGCTTTCCAAACCAGTTTTACAGTATTATTTTGCCAAACATTATTGCTACCCAAAGCTCTAACCCCAAGTCTCCTGAGATACAATTTCAAGCAGGATGGACTTACATGAAATCAAAGATCCAGTGAAGATTGGGATGGGGAATGGAGAATGTGTCTCTGCTTCTGATTGCTGATACTGTCAAAACTTTGTATGAAATGTATAAGGCAAATGCCTTCAGGAGGAAGGGAAAAGAATTTAAGGGACAGATGAACCTTGTCCCTAGAGATCTTGAAGCCCTAAACTGGTTTACCAATCTTGTGTGACTTGAAAGAGTAAATTATCTCCTATCCATGTGTCATTTTTGAAATTGGCGTAGGTTAGATGGGGCCCACATAACTTGGTGATGATAGAGCCCTTTAAAATAACTTTTTCACGTAGTGAAAATATCCCTTTTGAGGAGTAACTCTTCAGACACACAGATTGGGAGTCACATGTTAGTCACCACCCATGACCTACCATTTATGACTTGTAGACACAGCTGTTTGTGAGTGATCTTGGATGAGCTGTTTTAACAGGAGAAGTTGAGCAAGTAACTTACAGGCTTATTGCTCATTAATTCCTTCCTCAAACTATGTCAGAGATACAAAAGGCTGTCCAGAATTTAATAATTGTAGAATAGTGCTTACAGACCTTATGAAAAAGGGATAAGCACAGAGAAATGAAGCCATTTACAGTCTGTCAAAGAACAGAGTGAATTTCAAAAACAACCCTATGTTTCATTAAAACTTTATTTATTCAAGTTTAATGTACTTTGAAATGAATTTGCATTTTTAAGGAACAGAATGTATTTTTATCTTCATCAAGGACATACCACCCCAGAAAGTTCACTTATATGCTGTGACAATGTCAAGTGGGTTCTATCCGAAATTTGGCATGCTATTAAATTCTTGTTCCATAAAATCCTCAGCATAGCATCTTACCTTTATAATGTAACGTGGCTTTTGATCAAAGACTTTTTAAAATACATCTTGCACTTCAAGCTCATTTATTCTGAATATACCCATTCTTAACTCTTATCAAATAAATCCATGTAATACATTTCCTGAAAGTGCACAGAGTGAGAGAGATAAGAAATTAATTTCTTTGCTTCTGAAATGATCCTAAACGCTCAATTATCTGTCATGTCAAAAGTTGGGCTTACAAACTTATAATTCCAGTTTTTTTGACAAGGAACTTACATCTTTTGTTTAAACCACATAGCATTATTTTAGAATATTTTCTGTTTTATTATTATAGAGTAACAACATGTTAGACACTTGAGAAAATTTAAATATTATTTAATTCAGTGGTCTGCAAACTTTGGCCTGTGGGCCAATCACCTGTTTTTGTAAATAAAGTTTTATTGGAGCCCAGATCATCTCTCATTCATTTAAGCAGTGTTTATGGTTGCGTTCATGCTGTGGTGACTGAGTAGAGACATAGCAAAGGAAACCTCATGGCCTACAAGCTTAAAACACTTACTGTTTGGCCCTTTAATAAAAAGTTGCCAGTCGATCAGTTAGTGTATCTCCTACGTTTTACAAAAAGGAAAAAACACAAAATATTTAACATTTTCCATTACTATTTGAGACAATACCAGGAAAACAGATCATCATATTATGAAATCTTATAATGCCTAAATATATGTTGGTTTGCTTTACATTAATATATATGTAAAAAAATCATACCCCTTGCATTAACATGGGGCTAAACTAGTGTATTCCCTAAGAAAACAGCATTGTCCCTATGGTCTGTGTCAGAGACTGGATATAAAATTCTCAAGGAAACTACAGCTGTATAGTAGTTAGTGAATTTAAACACTATTTGTAAATCAAACTATTGATCAGGAAACAGTGAAGGACTTTAAAACAAACTAGTCATATGCAATGAAAAATCATGTCTCCCCCCTTGTTGTAAAGATTGCAATAAAGCAGAACGAAATAAGTCAACAACTCTCCTTGTAAGGCCTCTCCTTTTTTCAGTCTAGTAATGACGAAAAAGACAAACTGGACATTTGGAAGAGCAAGTGGAATGTACCTCAGATAAATTGTAAGCTGGCAGCTTTCTCACAGAGAGACTGGACCCATACTTTAAGAAAGCCTACAAAAGCATTTGACTTCAAGGTACCCTGAAACCAAGATGTATAGGCACTGTCTTTAACTTAAGGACACCTGAAAAGGACTTTTAATGCCAGCTCAACCTGTGGTAAAATCATACTGTACTGTCCATGAATGGCACCCATTGAGTTGTGCCGCACAAAATTCATGTGAACATATATGACAGCACTATTTCTGAAATACTGGCACTCTCACTTTAACTATAACCCAAAATTTTACAATAGGGACTAATAGAGGTTTACAAAATAAAAGTAATTACACACACGAAAGTATAGTTGGCATTACTGAACAATCATTATGGGCCCTTAAACACGTGTTTCAGTTCACTGACATTGAGTTGGTATAGAATGACCTCACTATTTTCATCATGGTTACCACAATTCTGTCCAGCACCAATCTCAAAATTTTCTCTTGCATAATACAAAATATATATCTAACTCCAAGTTATGTTTATACTTTAAACAAAGGCAGTTAGCATCATTAATTTTTTATAATCTTGAATTTTTTTCTTTTTAGAATTTTACTGAGGTATAATTTGCATACAATAAAACATACCTATTTTCAATATACTGCTCGATGAGTTTTGATAAACGTGTATACCTCTGTGATAACCATCACAGTCAAGTTACAGAAGATTTCTGTCCCCTCAGAAAGCTCCCTCTTTTGCAATTACTACTCCACATCCCCAGAAAATAATGGGTCTGCTCTCAGTCATCGTAGATTAGCTCTGCCTGTTCTAGAAACTCACATAAATGAAACAAAACTGTATGTACTTTTTGTATTCACCTTCTTTCACTTAGCATATTCTTTTGAGATCCATCCATGTTGCTGTATGTATTAGTATATCATTTTCTTTTATTGCTGATGTTATTTATTTAAATGGACATACCACAATTTGTTTACCCATTCGCCTGTTGATGGACATTTGGTTGCTTCTTATTTGGGGCTATTATGAGTAACGCAGCTATGAACATTCATGTAAAGTCTTTTTGAGAACATATGCTTTCATTTCTTTCTGGTAAATAACAAAGAGTAGAATTTTAGTTTTAAGTATTCGTCTGAAGTTTTTGATGCTTATTCTACTTTTTTTTCTGCCAGGGAACTCTGTTCCTTATCCTTCACATCCATGTTCCAATTTGTATTAATACTTATTGAGATAAAATAGGATGAAATGTGATGTATATACAACTATATGGTCAAAATTTATAAAAGTGAGAAAGTATTTCTAAAATATCTGTTCTTTGTTGGTACATATCTACCAAATAGCTTTGCTAACAACCTCAGAACAAAATACAAACCTAGGAGACTCTGATTTACATGAATTCTTCTTTCACATGAACTCTCTTTTATTTAGGAAGGATTGCAGAACAAAAATGAAACTCAGGGGGTTGTGCAAATTCTGAAAAGAAAAGGTCTGCCCCAAGTGTAAAAGAAGTGAAACGCTCTAAGTGTTCTGGAAGCTTTATGACACATTTTCTTGACCTATATGGTGTGAAACCTTACTTATCATTCTCGGCAGGAAAAAGAGATAATATAAGAAAGAGATTTGTGGGAAGATAACATTTAAATCTCTACTATCAAGATGACATGAACTTAAAGGTCTAGAGGATGCCCTAGTTGAGCATAAGTACTTCTAGAAAACCAAAATGATCCCTTAAACTTGGGACACATTATAAGTCAACAATAAAATAATGTACGTGGGAATCATCAACAAGTGAGTTGATGTTAAGAATGTTACAAATTACAAAGAATATGTTAAGAATGTTACAAATTACAAGGAAAATGAGATTTTACCTTACTTGCAAGCTAACAATCCTGCCAGAGTTTCTGGGTTCTGGCAGAAGACATGAGACTCCTGGGTAACATGAAGGGTGGTATTATTCTCAGCAATATCAGTAGCCAGAGTATCAGCATTGTTCTATCTTCCTGAGCTTCAGTTCCCATAGAGAAATGTGAAGAAAACCAGGTGACATCAAGCAGTGGGTTGTATTATAGGAGAAGGATTCTGAGCTTAAGGAATACAAATATTTCATACTGGGTAGTAAGCCTCCCTGACATTTGCCTTTAAAGGAAATGGTACCTTTATTGCATCAGACAATAAACAAACCTTTCTTTTGCATGAGAGATAGAGCCCCATCCACTGGAGTTGGCCATAATTTCTATGCTGCATCTTTCCTATCATTAACACTTTTTAACACCTTAAAGTCTGTTGAATTATAGGACCCAAGCAGTATGCTGATTGCACTCATTGTACTCTAGACCTACTCTGGGCCCTACTCAAAGCTAATAGCTTTCCATGTCACTGGATATTTGGGCTGAAGTAGTATTTCTGGGTGTAGAATGGGCTGCCTCCAGAACCCAAGGAAGCCTACAAGACTATTTTGTGGTAGAGGAGGGAAGATGCAGCAATTGTCTTTTCCTTTGGAAAAATGTTCTAGCATAGCCCTGATCACTAGACCCTTTAAACCTTCATTGAATCTGTATAGGATTTATCTCCCACTGTCTGAAGTGTCTAACTAAGTTTGTCAGCACACAAGCCACCTCTCATTTGCCCTGTTCAGTCACCAATGCAACACAGTAGTTCTCGAAAACAATCCTGTATCCCAGGGTGAGGATGGGGTTTGTAGCAGAGATTGATATAGCCTTTAAAAAGGAAAGGAAGCAAGAATAGTGGTCCCTGTCACATCTTCATTTAATTTGCCAGCCTGGCCTTTGTAGAAAATAAATGGATCCTGGGAAATGACTGTAGATTACCTCGTACATAACCATGAAGTAGCCATGTTCACAACTGTGCCTTCCACACTATGAGAGATTTACCCGAGGGACCAGGGACCTAATGTGGTTGCTAGTCCAACTGCCAGGTATACCAGTTCCATTTATACACTCAAGAACTAGAGAAATGACTATAATGGGCCTGCTGGGAGCTGAACTTGGGCCAGTGCTCTATTTATTACCTGGCTCCCATAGCCCGACTCTAGAAGGGGAACAGCAATGATTTTTAAATCTGTAGAAATCATTGTTAACCCAGAACTTGTATTCCATAACTCTTCCCAAATTAGACATACACCTGAATAAATGGCTACAGGTCCCTCTGGGGAAGGACTGGGGAGTCATGCTGGTACATGGTTGCCATGGTGTTGAGGGTCCTTCCTCCCAGAGACAAAGCCATCTCAACAGTCAATGAATTCTGGATATGAAAACTGGATCAGGTTTGGGAAGAAAACAAAGGATTATGAGCTTTTATTGAGGAGACCACCCTTAGCCCCATTCTCCACTGTTCTTGATTTTTGCTCTGTTTTGATATTTTAGTTATTATTCCTGTTAAGCAACACCCTACACATACACAGATTACAATTTAGGCAAAAGCTCTAAGTGATTCCCATGCAGATTTCTGGAGTTTCTTTTCTCAACATAGCTTTCTCCTACCTCCTACTTTGTTCTGCAAATTCAAGTTGCCTCTGTCTTCCCTATCTCCAGTCTCGGTCTCCTCAACTCAACAGGCACAGTATGCTATGCTTGAGATCTGAAAAGAGGCTTCAGACAGAAGTTCACTTTGTATGCTTCTTTTTTTGCAGCAACTACAGATTTGTGTTTCCTGCTGTTCATTGTCTGATAACAGATGTCTCATATATTTTGTCCAGTATTCTAGATGTTTATGATGAGAGGTTAAGTTAAATTCCAGCTGTTCTGTGCCTGGAAGTAGAAAGTCCTTTCTTTAAACATTGACTTTTTAACCATAATAGTCAATTGATTTTTCAATTTAAATAATTTTAAAAGCTAACATTCCTTCAATGGGTTCATGACAGGAATATTATAATAAGTATTTTTCAAATTGTTTATGGTAATTCTCTACCCTAAGTCACTTGCTCTACCTTCTCTAATTCTTCATTCAATTCAGAGCTATACAAAGAGCTTACATTTACAAACTTCGTGGGGTTAAAATTACCTGAATAGATTATAATGTCTCTCCTCAAGTTGCTTTTTTCTTTCAACAATGTTTGTTTAATGAAGTTTGATTGAGTCAACTCTATTCCAGACACAATACTTGGCATTGCCATTAGACTCTGGGATCTTTCCAATACATTCTGATACTCAAACGATTTTCTAACCCTGTCATTCTTAGCCTGCCTCTATTTCCCACATCTCTTTTAACAGTCTATAGTTCTTTTCCTTTGTTCTAATCGGTTATGTTGGACAAAATTCAAGTTTTTGCCTCCTAAAGAATTAAGCTCCACCATGAATTGCAGTGCATTTTGCTGATACACTGAAATTCTCATCCATTCTTTCTTCTAAGCTGTCTTTTCTGAGTTTGAGGCCAACTTCCCACCTTCGCTGTCCTTTGGAAAGACACAGTAGAGAACAGGTTGCATTTGATGCCTGGCTCTTGGGAGAATGTGGGTATAATACTTAAACTTTCTGGGTGTCTGTTTTTCTATAAAAATGATGATACTAGTATCTACTTCAGAAGATTATTGTGAAGATTGAGTTTACAGACAGAAAGCACTTAGAAGAGTATCCGATCTTGCATACAGAAAACACTCAATAAATATTAACTACTATTATTATTTCTTAGAATCTTGAACACCAGGCTTCAAATTTGTGTTAATTTTCACACTGCTATAAAGAAATACCTGAGACTGGGTAATTTATAATGGAAAGAGGTTTAACTGATTCACAGTTCCACACAGCTGGGGAGGCCACGGAAACTTACAATCATGGCAGAAGGTGAAGGGGAAGCAGGCACCTTCTTCACATAGTGGCAGGAGAGAGACGTGCAAGCAGGGGAAATGCCAGACGCTTATAAAACCCTCAGATCTCATGAGAACTCACTCACTATCATGAGAACAGCATGGGGGAAACCACCCCCATGATCTAATCACCTCTCACCAGGTTTCTGCATTAACACTTGAGGATTATAGTTCAAGATGAGATTTGGGTGAAGACACAAAGCTAAACTACATCACTATTATATGGAATTCTGATCACCATGATTCTACATTACTATCTGCTATGCCTTAGTCATAAGTTTAGATACTCTAAGTTTCACCCAATTTGGAAATAAATTTTATACTTGGGCCCTTCTTAAACTTTTGGCCCAGACCCTTATGGCCCTTTTCAAAGTGAATATCTGTAGTTGGATTGCTTTACCCTGTCCTTGACCCCTCCATTTTCAGCTTACTCTGTACTAGTTTCTAACCATATGTCTCTAAGGGACTGGTATCATCTCCCTCATGAGACAATCCAACAGTAGTAATAATGTCCACAAGGCCACCGTGAAGCCAGCCTTTGGATTCTGAAGTGGCAGCTAAGCTCCCGAAGTCCCAGCTGTGGTTATATGCATTTTTAAAAAAGAATAGAGAATAGGAGGTAACAGGCAAAGCAAGTAAAGACTTGTGTATTTAGCCCTAAAAGGGAAAAAAAATAAGCAAATAATTCATCTTGGTCATAGCATGTGCTGAAAAAATGTGGTACAACATGCAATAGAAGTTTCCATAAACTACACTGTAATTATACAATCTGTACCTTAAGCTTGTTTGAGAATCACATGGATTTAGAGCATAACTATGGCTAAAATTTAAAGTCCACGTACACAAATAAGTAAAATAAATCAGTCTTATTTTATTAATAAAATGAATGTTTATACCCAAGTATAAAGCACTGACTTCTGCCTCAGCTGGAGGAATTATAAGTCAGTAATGCATCTTATAAATCAAGTGCATGAACCATTCATCATCTTCTGAGATTCTAAGTCAGTTGTGTTCACAAAGCAGTTGCATGACTTGGAAACAACTCCTGGGATGAATAAATCAGTCACTTCCAGATATATGAATAAGTGACATGACCCATAAATCACATGACTACATACTCGTGCTTCATCAATCAGAAACTTTTATTTATAATTGAAAATTTGAAAATACTTATTGTGAACAATTTACTAAACACCCATCCCAAATTCCCATAGTACTGTAAGATGAAATGCATAGATGAAATTCCACAAGACTACCCCGACTCCAGGTGTCAGTCATAAGTAGCAGGTTCCTGGTTATTCACAACTTCTGTCCAACCTAGTTACATATCAGGGTTCCCACAAAGCCCTTCTCTGTTTCATAATTTGCTAGAGCAGTTCACAGAACTCAGAAAAGCACTTTACTTACTATTATCCTTTTATTATAAAAGGAACAGTCAGATGGAAGAGGCAACTCAGGAACAGTCAGAAGGAAGAATGTATTGGGCAATATATGTGGGGAGAGGCTGGGAATTTACACACTCTGTTGGACCATGCCACCCTCCACGTGTTCAGGAATCAGAAATCTCTCCACCCTCTGTTCTTTCGGGTTATTGTGGAGGCGTCATTACATAAGCATGATGGATTAAATCATTGGCCATTGGCCATCGGTGATTGACTCAACTTTCAGCCTCTCTCCTGACCCTGAAAGTCCAGGAATTGGGTTAAAATTCCTAAACCTCTAATCACAGGATTGGTTCCCCTGGCAACCAACTCTCAGTCTGAGGTTACCCAGGAGCCCCAGCCTTTCGTTATCTTATTAGCATACAAAAATTATATAACAATATCACAGTCCCATATGGAAAATATAGGCAAGTACAACTAACTAATCCACAAACATACCTTTTAGACAGTGTCTTTGGAGATATATGAATATAAATGTATCAACTATTGGAAATTATTTCTTTGAGAGAATGTTTTTGAAACTAGGTAAAGTAATGTAATTGTAATGCAAAGTAAATGTTAACCTAAATAATCATGTTCATAGGATACACTAATGTTCCAATTAGTGTATCTGAATTTTATTAACATAATCATGTTTTATGTTTGCATAGTCTTTTATACATTTATTCTTACAGTTTTGTTGGTGGTTATCACCATTTAATAGACGAAGAAAATATCTAAGATAATTAAAATCCAAAATTACATTGCAATTCAGCACAACTAGAATTTAGGTTTTCTGTGTTCTATTTCTGTATTCTTTGTTTCACCATGTTTCCTTTCATACATTTTACTGCCACTAAAAGGGTATGGATAATTTTTCATCTTTTTATAAATGTATAAAATTTACTGATTAAGACTTAAAGTTTATTCATTAAGCTTAAAGTTTACTAATTTAGGCTTATGTATACAGGCCTAGAGGTGTCACCAACACTCTGAAGCACTTACCAACTCCTAGTTTTTAGTGTTGTAATAATCATAAAATATTTATTCATACATCATTTTACATCTGATATGAGCTGAAGCTTGGATTTTGCATTTGGGATGACAAATGGCTCATTTCTGGATAGATTCCCTATAAGTCATTACAAGTTCTATGACTTTTGTCATTGAACAAAAACCACTATTGAGTGATGGAATTTCATACACCTTTAACTGTAATTCACCTGACTGCATAATCGCAAATTACTGATAATGTAAAATCTATCCAAATGTGTCCACACATATTAGCTGATGATCAGGCCGCTCCACAAGGAATGTCAGGCCACTCACTGTGCTTATTTCTGTGGCTTAATGTGGGTGAAAGTTCAAATAATTCCAGTTCTCATTATCAAACGGATAGCTTATATAAAGTCAATTCAGAGTTTAGCAAGGGATACTGATTTTCTGACCTCATAAAGAGTACAATATTCAGTGTATACCATAAGAAATACTAATTAAAAGTCATTTTTATTTATTGGCTTGGGCATTACTTTGACTTTCACCATTCCATTTTCATTTCAGATTTTTTTCATTGGAACTGTTGTTTTAATCGGCTTACAGATTGTGTTTTGGCAACTCTTTCCTTCTCATATCAGTTATCATTTGGGAAAGAAAAAGTGAAAACTGTACTACAGAATTCGCAGTATTAACTTCAAAGCATGGCATTTAGAGTTAGATTCTTTTTGAGTTGCTGCTTGGTAATTTGCTAAAAATAATAACGATTCCTCCCTCATATCTCTGGAAGGGCTTTATTACACACTCATTAAATTGTGCTTAGGTAGCATAATTATATAGAGTTCAGCATATTTCAGTTTATCAACAGAGTGAGTCACTTGGGAACTGTATAGACAATGTGGGATAGGGCAAGATTGCTGGGAAGACAGAATTTACTTCTATTTCCAGTTTAGGTGGTGGGTTGTTTTTGGTTTCGTTTTTGTTTTTTATCTTGGGCATGTCACTGATTCCTCTGGTCTGTTTCTCTGTCTTTGAATTGATAATTTGATTTCCCCCTTCGTGGTTCTTAAGAATATTGTGAGCAAGCATTAATGAAGCGGATGCACTCTGAGTTCCTCAGATAAGACTACGTAAGTCCAAAACCTTATGACTGAGTCATGTGAGGGTTTAGGCTTCAAGATTCCATTTGGTGTACATATTTAAAGGAAAATAACCTATTTTAGCAGTTGGGAATCTACTGCTTTTAAGATCTCTTGGGTAAGTTATAACATTTACTTCAAACCTATCCCATGTATAGCTTTTCATTTCTCTTTTAAATCCCTATTGTTCTTTTCTTGGTAGAGAAAGCATACATCTCATCTTTATCTTTGACAAACTTATTCAGTAAATGCAATTCCCCAATATGTTGATCACAATTATAGAATTTCTATGAAATTCTTAGATTTGATAAAGTTTCTAGAGAACTTTAGCTCAAGCTAAAATGTGTATGATCATTGTGCTATGCACATAACAAATCCTTGATAAGTAACAGTTAAGTCTGGATTAAGTTGAGGACTTTTTTAAACAATAATTTTATTAGGAAGTTATTATTAATGAAGTTATATTTTGGTAAAATGCCACTAGTCCACCTGATTTATGATATCTAGGCATTCCAGCATCTATGACAGGATTTTATTTCATAAGACTCCATCTCCACCCCTACAACCCAGGAGGCAGACTATAAAATAATCATCATTTTCCACCTCATCCTGTCCATCTGGATGTCAGATGGAAGCAAAGAGATCCATAACCCTTTGAAATAAGTGAGGTGGCCTGGGTAGCATTTCTTAATGCAACCTATGAAACCAGGTTTTAATATCCACATCTTTGAACTATTACTAAGTGGATACTGGAGGCCACATTTTCCTCCACAGTCACTCTATTACCACATCTTCTAATTCATTATTCTTTAAGTACTTCAAGATAGTTATAATAGAATTAAATTTTATGTAATGCTCTTCATCATCCAACAAAGTACATTGCCGAATCATCTTTAAGCCTTCGACCTTTTCCCGATGAAAACACTTCCCTTGCCTGTACTTTCACTCTGAATCGTCAGCCTATGTCAACCTTTGCTCTCAATCTGAATTTTTATTCTTGGAATGCCTGCCCAAGACAAAGGAAGAAAAGGAAAATGAAGAAAATGGTAAAACAAAATGGAACATTAAGCAAAGGCAGCATAGCTCCAAGAAAATCCTTAGAAGAATATAAAGCAATTTGTCAGTTCTTAAAATTAAAAGCTAACTATCAAATATCATCCCAGAATATTAATGTCTTGAGAAAAGCTTGACATAACTCCTGGATAGGTATTTTGGAGTCAGCAACATAGTTTCAGTCCTCCGTACTCCAAATTCATCACAGGATTTCACTTCTTGATTATTTATGGTTGTTTTGGACCATGTAACTAGTCTGGCAAATGAGGTGTGAGTAAAACTGAAGTATGTCACTTCTGGGCTATAGTGAGACTCTCCAGAGCAGTCTTTTCCCTCTGCTAGAAAAGGCAATACTCATTATGTTGGCTGTCCAATTAGCCAGTATACCTGAGAATGCATGATAAGTACCTGGCAATGTGCAATTGTTAAGGAACACGGGTAAGAAATCAACCTTTATTCTTTTAAGGCACTGAGATTTGAAGTTGTGTTTTATGGCAGCATAACCCACACTATTCTGACATTACAGATACTCACCTTTGTTAAGAATAATAAAAGGAAAGTTCTCAGCAAGTACTTTTTAATGCTTTGAGAAACTTTCAATTTGCATTTACTCTAGTTCTTAGAACTTTATCTGACATAAAATAAACAGATGGCTTAGACTCATACAATAATGCTCATTAAATTTGTGGGGATAATATGAATTATTCTCATGTAGTTATTTATTGAATATTTTATGGTATTCAATAGATTTATTCAGTAGCTTCATCTATTTTCAGAACATAAGTCAGTTTTAGCTTAAAAATTTCTACTTACATAATGAAATGGGTTCACTTATTCCCAGGTGGCTGATTTGTCTCATGTAATATGATGTTACACAAGGGTTCACCATTCTTCCCTGTTAATGACTTATTTGGCACACTACAATGTAAGAAGCCAGGCAAAAACTTCAGTGAGGAGAAATCTTGAGTCTCCACCATTATCCCCACTTTGTTTATGAGCTCAATGGTCACGAACTGGGAGAGTTGAAGAAAGAAACAGACATCCACAGCGTGATCATGTGATCTACCTGACTAAGAGTCTGCTCAGAAGAGGATATCATTAGATGACCATTTACACGAAAAGCAAATAATCTCTCATTCCGGCATTATTTCAAGAGATCCATTCATGAGTCTTCTCCCAAAATCTTTTTGTCACCAAGATTATAACTGACTCTGAGTTCCTGTCCATGTGGCCTAAGAAATTCCCTGTTCATAAATTATGATAGACCTGTATTTCTGACAATTTCTCCAGTTGCAAAGTCTTCCACTTTGACCTTTCTAACATAGATAAATTTTTATCCTTTCTGTTAATACAGATCAAGTAGGGAATTAATGAAGTGTTCATCTATTTCAGTTCTAGAAATGTAATGATCAATTAGTTATTGCCAAAAATAACTGCAGATCAAAGTACTTCTATTACCACTTTGGCTCTGCTGCCTGTTAGAGTAACTATTATAATCTTCTCCCTTTTCATTAAGTGCTGCTACTTTGCCTCTGTTACGAAGGGATTCTATAACCCCATTGAAATCAGACAGTCTGTTTCAGTGTCATTATTTCTCTTCTTTATCCTTGGTCTACAGAGAACAGGCACTACAGGGTTTCTACTAACGTATTTATCTATACTAATTTATTTATCAGTTCTGTGGGGAAGGGACTATAAACTAGGACCTTTCAGAAACAGAACTACAGGGTGACTGAGTCGATTGCCTCTCAGAGATAATTTACTTCAGCCATCCTATTTCCCCAAGTTTCTACATTATACTAAGGAAATTCTGACATCTCTATTTCTTTTCTTTTTTTAATAAATTTTTTAATAATTTCAGCTTTGATTTTAGAATCAGGGAGTACATATACAGATTTGTTACATGGACATATTGTGTGATGCTGAGGTCTGGGGTACAAATGATCCCACCCAAGGACTGATCATAGTACCCAGTAGTTTACTTTTCAATCTGTGACCCTTCCTTCCCTCCCTCCTCTAGTAGTTTCCAGTGTCTACTGTTGCCATCTTTATGTCCATGAGTGCCCAATGTTTAGCTCCCACTTGTAAATAAGAACTTGCAGTATTTGGTTTTCTCTTCCTGCATTAATTTTGTTTAGATGATGACCTCCAACCACATCCACGATGCTATAAAGGACTTGATTTTGTTCTTTTTTATGGTTGTCTAGTATTCCATGTTATATATGTACCCCATTTTCTTTATCCAATCCACTGTTGATAGAGACCTATGTGTATTCCATGTCTTTGCTATTGTGACAAGTGCTACAATGAACAGACGAGTGCACTGGTATCTCAGTTTCATTCATCGTAGGCCAATACGGAGCCGAAGTTTTAATCAATCCACTGAGAAAACATTTAGCAGCACTCTTATTTTCTCAAACTAGAACTCTAAATCAAGAATTTTGAGTTAAATAAGCTCTAGCTGTATACGCCCATATTAACAATAACAAGCAAAAAGCCTATCCAAATATGATATCCTTCCCATCATTGTCTATAATCTCAGAGGCCATTTTCATAAATTCTCCAGATTTTTTCTTGCTATATTAGCAAAATGTTGTAATTATTTTTGGTATGGAACCTGGTTTATTTTGTAAATGACTCCCTAGGTTATATTGAAACCTGACATAATTTATAGGCCTTGAGGTAAAAAATGGAAGTAGACATATTGAAATGAGAAGAATTTGAATTCTCTTGCAAGATAATTGTTTCAAGTGAGGAATTTACTGGATGCAAAAAAACTAGACACATGAGTGAGAAGGAGAGGTTTCTTCTGCTGGCATAGGAGGTAGATTGACAGGAGATTCAGGGAATTCATATTTGTCCAATTAACCAAAACCATTGATTAACTTTCCAGATCCTTCTCATTTTCAAGAAGTAAATTAATTTTTACTCAAGAGAAGTAATGTAGTTATGAATGTGATCTGCAGTATAATTCAACTACCCTGGTACAGTAAGTGTGATGAATGTGGGGACTGATTCCAAAAAAAAAAAAAAAAAAAAAAAAAGACAATGAGGTGACAGTAGCACACTGTGAGCTTAAGATAAGCATTATCTGGGCAACACTTTAACAGGTTTTGGGGTAGAGAGAAAGACCTCAGAGCATAAGAATATCCAAGAGATACAGCACAGGGACCACTGTTCATAGTGAGACAAGGGCAAGAGAACTCCCAGGAGAAAGAGAGAGATCAGATAGGAGGCTTGTGTTTTAGGCAATGTTCAGCAGTCCTACAGTAAATCTCTGGGGAGTCCAACACTTCCAAAGGTTAGAATTGGAGTCTTTTATATCTATAGAGTTTATCTTATCTCTGCCTAGTAAGTGTTTGGTACATTTTCATCGAATATGGAAAGCCAAGAGGCTCTAAATGGCTAAAACTCTGCACATTGGGGGTATGTTTAAAACAACTGGATATATATGAGTTAGAGTTTAGTGGTGTCAAACTTTTGAGTTAACAGACTTCAGCCTGTTATAAAGAAGTAAACAACATATGGCCAATATACAGAGGCCATCTTGGGCTCCTTTATATAAAACCTAGAAATCAGAAATTTAGACTTCTGAATTCGGACTTCTTCAACTCTGCTGATATAAGAGATAAGACATCATCTTAAGGCAATCATAGAAATATCTGGGTTCCCTGGTCATATTTTGATGCATTCAAAGCTCTGCAGTACAGTCTGAAGTAGCCATTCCACCCACACAGTCTTTTTATGCTTGAACTACCGTTAATGGACTATCACAGCAGTCACTCAGTTTAGACAGCTTTGTCTTTAATAGGACTTCATTCTAGCATTATCACAAGACATAATTTAAATGTTTTACCACTGGTTGTCATGGAAACAAATCCTATCTGTTAATGATAATTAGACCTTGCCACATAGTCAACCAAATATTAAGATTTCTTTGAATATTGATTACCGGCAACCACTTGATGAAGCAATTATTGTGTAACTCAAATTTCACCTGTAGGTAGACAACAGAATTCTGCTAAAGTCTGAATGTTTGTGTCCCCTAAAATTTATATGTTGAAGTCATACCCCCAAGTTGATGGTATTAACAGGTAGGGCCTTTCAGAGGTAATTTGGTCATGATGATGGATGGTGCTCTCATTAATGGGGTTAGTGCCCTTATAAAGAGATTTTTAAAATCTCATTTGTCACTTCCACCATGTGAGGATGCCATGAGAAGGCACCTTCTGTGAACCAAAAAGTGGGCTCTCACCACATCCTGAATTAGCTAACACCTTGATCTTGGACTTCTCAGCCTCCGTAAATGTTAGAAATAAATTTCTGTTATTTATAAGCTAACCAGTTTCTGTTTTTTGTTTGCTTGTTTGTTGTTGTTGTTGTTGTTGTTGTTGTTGTTATAGCACCAGAAATGAACTACTAAAAATTCATTCTAGTTAGTTCAAGCAGATAAGAGCTAACAGAGGAAAATAGATGAATAAGAAATTGTAGGAGAGGGCAAAGCAAGATAGCCACATAGAACACTTGACCTATCTATCATCCCTCCCACAGGAACACCAATTTAACAACTATCTACACAAAAAAGCACCTTCATAAGAACCAAAGATCAAGTGAGCAATCACAGTACCTTGTTTTAACTTCATATCAGTGAAGGAGGCACTGAGGAGGGCAGGAAAGACAGTCTTGAATTACAGATGGCACACTTCCTCTATGCCCTGGCAGTGACCACATGGTATATAGACAGAATCTGTGTCCTTGGGGGAGGGACAGCACAGCAACTCTGGGACTTTGCATTCAACTAAGTGCTGCCCTGTCACAGCAGAAAGCAAAACCCAGCTAAAATCAGCTGACACCCACCCATGGAGGAAGCATCTAGACCAGCCCTAGCCAGAGGGTCAGAACTCGAGTTTTGGCAAGTCTTGCCATCACAGGCTGAAGTGCTTTGGGGTCCTCAATAAATTTGAAAAGAAATCTTACAATTCCTAGGCAAGTCCGAGTGCTGTGCTGAACGCAGAGCTGGTGGACATGAAACACCAGCCAGGGCAGCTAAGAAAGTGCTTGCATCACCCCTCCTACAACTCCAGACAGCACAAATTGCAGCAACAAAAGTGACTCATTCTTTTGGCTTGAGAAGAGGAGAGGGAAGAATAAAAAGGACTTTGTCTTGCATCTTTGATACCATCTCAACCAGAGTAGGAAAGAGCACTGGGCATAGTTGTAGGGCCCTGATTACAGGCCATAGCTCCCAGATGACACATCTAGACATACCCTGGGCCAGAAGGGAACCCATTGCCTTGAAGGGAAAAACCCAGTCCTGGCAGGATTCACCACCTGCTGACTAAGGAGCCCTTGAGCTCTGAAGAACCAGAAGTAATACCCAAGTACTATGCCGTAGGCCTTGGGTGAGACTCAGATGTGCTGGCTTCAGGTACCAGCTTGGCCTCAGTGGGGTAAAGCACCAAGTGGGTTCCTGGGGTCCCTGATTTCAGGCCTTGGCTCTTGGACAGCATTTCTGGACATGCCCTGGGCCAGAGGGGAGCCCATTGCCATGAACAGTGAGTCCCAGGCCTGGCAGCATTCACCACCAGCTGACTGAAGAGCCCTTAGGCCTTAAAGGAACATCAGCAGTAGACTGGCAGTAACCCCAATGGATCTGTGGTGGTGGTGGACTGGAGAGAGGCCCCTCAGACTGTGGAAAGGGCTGTATCTTGTGGTTTAAGAGGCAGCTCAACCACAGTACAATAGAACACCAGGTAGAATTCTAAAGTTTTTTTTGCTCTAGTCCCTAGCTCCTGGATATCATCTCTGGACCTACCTGGGGCCTAAGGCAACTCACCACCCTAAAGGGAAGAAAACAAGCACGACTGTCCTTACCACCTGCTGACTGAAGAACCCTAGGGCCTTGAGCAAACGTAAGTGGTAGCCAAGTAGTGGTTACACCAGACCATGGGCAACACCCAGTGCTGTGCTGGCTTCAGGTCTGACCCAGTCTCAGTGGTGGTAGACACAGGGTGTAAGTGTCACCGCAACCCCAGCTACATGCAGCTCAGTACAGAAAGAGAGACTCCATTTGCTTGGGAGAAATTAAGGGTAAAAAAACAAGAGTCTCTCTCTGGTAATCCAGAGAAATGTTTTGGATCTCATCCAAGAACACCAAGGTGCTATGTCTACGAGCCTGCAAGAACCACAGCATTACTGGGCTTGGGGTGGTAACCAATGCAGATATAACTCAGATCACAACAACCAAGTCCCTTTGAATAGCAAGAATGCCTTCCTGAGAAGGAGAAGTACAGACAAGCCCAGACTGAAAAGACTACCTTAATTCCCAGAAACGAACAAATATCTATAAGCATCAAGACCGTCCAACAAATCATGACCTCACCACACAGAATAAATAAGGTGCCAGGGACCATTTCTGGAGAAACAGAGATATGTACTCTTTCAGACGGAGAACTCAAAAATAGCTGTTTTGAGGAAACTCAAAGAAATTCAAGATAACACAGGGAAGGAATTTAGAATTCTGTCAGATATATTTAATGAGGAGATTGAAATAATTAAAAAGAATCAAGCAGAAATTCTAGAGTTGAAAATGCAATTGACATACTGAAGAATGCCTCAGAGTGTCTAATTGGCAAAACTGTTGAAGCAGAAGAATTAGAGCTTAAAGACAGGCTATTTGAAAACACAGTCAAAGGAGACAATAGAAAAAAGAACAAAAAGAATGAAGCCCGTCCACAGTATCTATATTTAGTCTCAAATGGGCAAATCTATGAGTTATTGGCCTTAGAGAAGAGGTATAGAAAGAGACAAGGGTAGAAAGTTTATTCAAAGTGAAAGTAACAGAGACCTTCCCAAACCTATGGAAAGATATCAATATTCAAGCACAAGAAGGTTATAGAACACCAAGAAGATTTAACCCAAAGAAGACTACTTCAAGGCGTTTAATAATCAAAACCCAAGGGACCCTTTGTCAGATGAGTAGGTTGCGAAAATTTTCTCCCATTTTGTAGGTTGCCTGTTCACTCTGATGGTAGTTTCTTTTGCTGTGCAGAAGCTCTTTAGTTTAATTAGATCCCATTTGTCAATTTTGGCTTTTGTTGCCCTTGCTTTTGGTGTTTTAGACATGAAGTCCTTGCCCATGCCTATGTCCTGAATGGTAATGCCTAGGTTTTCTTCTAGGGTTTTTATGGTTTTAGGTCTAACGTTTAAGTCTTTAATCCATCTTGAATTGATTTTTGTATAAGGTGTAAGGAAGGGATCCAGTTTCAGCTTTCTACATATGGCTAGCCAGTTTTCCCAGCACCATTTATTAAATAAGGAATCCTTTCCCCATTGCTTGTTTTTCTCAGGTTTGTCAAAGATCAGATAGTTGTAGATATGTGGTGTTATTTCTGAGGGCTCTGTTCTGTTCCATTGATCTATAGCTCTGTTTTGGTACCAGTACCATGCTGTTTTGGTTACTGTAGCCTTGTAGTATAGTTTGAAGTCAGGTAGCATGATGCCTCTGGCTTTGTTCTTTTGGCTTAAAATTGACTTGGCGATGCGGGCTCTTTTTTGGTTCCATATGAACTTTAAAGTAGTTTTTTCCAATTCTGTGAAGAAAGGCATTGGTAGCTTGATGGGGATGGCATTGAATCTGTAAATTACCTTGGGCAGTATGGCCATTTTCACGATATTGATTCTTCCTACCCATGAGCATGGAATATTCTTCCATTTGTTTGTATCCTCTTTTATTTCATTGAGCAGTGGTTTGTAGTTCTCCTTGAAGAGGTCCTTCACATCCCTTGTAAGTTGGATTCCTAGGTATTTTATTCTCTTTGAAGCAATTGTGAATGGGAGTTCAGTCATGATTTGGCTCTCTGTTTGTCTGTTGTTGGTGTATAAGAATGCTTATGATTTTTGTACATTGATTTTGTATCCTGAGACTTTGCTGAAGTTGCTTATCAGCTTAAGGAGATTTTGGGCTGAGACAATGGGGTTTTCTAGATATACAATCATGTCATCTGCAAACAGGGACAATTTGACTTCCTCTTTTCCCAATTGAATACCCTTTATTTCCTTCTCCAGCCTAATTACCCTGGCCAGAACTTCCAACACTATGTTGAATAGGAGTGGTGAGAGAGGTCATCCCTGTCTTGTGCCAGTTTTCAAAGGGAATGCTTCCAGTTTTTGCCCATTCAGTATGATATTGGCTGTGGGTTTGTCATAGATAGCTCTTACTATTTTGAAATATGTCCCATCAATACCTAATTTATTGAGAGTTTTTAGCATGAAGGCGTTGTTGAATTTTGTCAAAGGTCTTTTCTGCATCTATTGAGATAATCATGTGGTTTTTGTCTTTGGTTCTGTTTATATGCTGGATTACATTTATTGATTTGCGTATATTGAACCAGCCTTGCATCCCAGGGATGAAGCCCACTTGATCATGGTGGATAAGCTTTTTGATGTGCTGCTGGATTCGGTTTGCCAGTATTTTATTGAGGATTTTTGCATCAATGTTCATCAAGGATATTGGTCTAAAATTCTCTTTTTTGGTTGTGTCTCTGCCCGGCTCTGGTATCAGGATGATGCTGGCTTCATAAAATGAGTTAGGGAGGATTCCCTCTTTTTCTATTGATTGGAATAGTTTCAGAAGGAATGGTACCAGTTCCTCCTTGTACCTCTGGTAGAATTCAGCTGTGAACTCAAACAAATTTACAAGAAAATAACAAACAACCCCATCAAAAAGTGGGCAAAGGACACGAACAGACACTTCTCAAAAGAAGACATTTATGCAGCCAAAAAACACATGAAAAAACGCTCACCATCACTGGCCATCAGAGAAATGCAAATCAAAACCACAATGAGATACCATCTCACACCAGTTAGAATGGGGATCATTAAAAAGTCAGGAAACAACAAGTGCTGGAGAGGATGTGGAGAAATAGGAACACTTTTACACTGTTGGTGGGACTGTAAACTAGTTCAACCATTGTGGAAGTCAGTGTGGCGATTCCTCAGGGATCTAGAACTAGAAATACCATTTGACCCAGCCATCCCATTACTGGGTATATACCCAAAGGACTATAAATCATGCTGCTTTAAAGACACATGCGCACATATGTTTACTGCGGCATTATTCACAATAGCAAAGACTTGGAACCAACCCAAATGTCCAACAATGATAGACTGGATTAAGAAAATGTGGCACATATACACCATGGAATACTATGCAGCCATAAAAAATGATGAGTTCATGTCCTTTGTAGGGACATGGATGAAATTGGAAATCATCATTCTCAGTAAACTATCGCAGGAACAGAAAACCAAACACCGCATATTCTCACTCATAGGTGGGAATTGAACAATGAGAACACATGGACACAGGAAGGGGAACATCACACTCTGGGGACTGTTGTGGGGTGGGGGGAGTGGGGAGGGATAGCATTGGGAGATATACCTAATGCTAGATGACAAGTTAGTGGGTGCAGCACACCAGCATGGCACACGTACACATATGTAACTAACCTGCACATTGTGCACATGTACCCTAAAACTTAAAGTATAATAATAATAAATAAATAAATAAATAAATAAATAACCCAAGGGACAAGAATAAAGAAAACATTCAAAAGTAGTGAGAGAAAAGAATCAAATAACAAACAATGGAGCTCCAATACTTCTGGCAGCAGACTTTTCAGTGGAAACTTCACAGGCCAGAGTGGCATGAGATATTTAAAGTGCTGAAGAAAAAAACTTTTACCCTAGAATTGTATATCCAGTGAAAATATCCTTCAAACATGATGGAGAAATAAAGATGTTCCCAGATAAACAAAAGCTAAGAAATTTCACCAACATCAGAACTATTCTACAAGAAATGCTAAAGGGAGCTTCTTTAATCAGAAAAAAAGGATGTTAACGAGCAATAAGAAATCACCTGAAGGTATAAAGAACTCACTGGTAATTAGTATGTACCCAGAATAACACAAATTGTTATAATACTGTAACTGTGGTGTCTAAATCACTCTTATCTTAAGCAGAAAGACTAAAAGGTAAATCAATAAAAAATAATAACTACAGCAACTTTCCAATACGTAGACATTAGTGTAAGATATAAATAGAAACAACAAAAAGTTAAGAAGCAGGAGGGAACAAAGTGAAAGGGTAAATTTGTAATAGTTTCATTTTTGCTTGTTTGTCTGTTTATGCAATCAGTGTTAAGTTGTCTTCATTTTAAAATGAGTTGTAAGATAGTATTTGCAACTCATGATAAACTCAAACCAAAAAATACACAACACATACACAAAAAAGAAAAAGTGAGAAATTAAACCCTACCACCAGAGAAAATCTATTCCTTCTTTTCTTCCTGTTTTTTTAATGAAGGTGAAGACTACAATACAACTAGAGAACAAAAAACAAAATGTCAATTTCTTAGTTATCAATAATAACATTGAATGCAAATGGACTCAACTCTTCTATCAGACATAGAGTGACTGAATGGATTAAAAACAAAGACCCAGTGATATGTTGCCTAAAAGAAACACATTTCACCTATGAAGACACACAGACTGAAAATAAAGAAATGGAAAAAGACATTCCTTGTCAACAGAAACCAAAGAAGAGCAGGAGTAGCTATACTTAAATCAGACAAAATAGATTTGAAGACAAAAATGAAAAGAAGAGACAAAAAAAGTCATTATATAATGATAAATTAGTCAACTCATCAGGATGATATAACAATTATATTATATAACAAATATATTAGATGTATATGCACCCAATACTGGAGCACCAGTTATACAAAGCAAATATTATCAGATCTACACAGAGAGATAAGACCCAATACAATAAGAGCTGGAGACTTCAACATCCCACTTTCAGCATTGGACAAATCATCCAAACAGAAAATAAACAAAGAAAGATTCGTCTTAATCTGTTAATCTGCACTATACATGAAAAGTATCTAATAGATATTTACAGAACATTTCATCCAAATACTACATAATACACATTCTTCTCAGCATATGGATCACTGTCAAAGACAAACCACACATTAAGTTATATAACAAGTCTTAAATGTTCAAAAAAACTGAAATAATATTAAGCATCTTATCTGAACACAATGGAATAAAACTAGAAATCAATAATAAGAAGAATTTTGGAAACTATGCAGACATATGGAAATTAAGCAATATGCTCCTGAATGACCAGTGGCTCAACAAAGACATTAAGAATGAAATTGAAAAAATTCTTGAAACAAGTGATAGTGGAAGCACAACATACCAGAACCTGTGAGATACTATGAAGGCAGTACTAACAGGGAAGTTTATAGCTATATGTGCTTTCATCAAAGAAGAAAAATAATTCAAAAAATAGCCTAACAATGCATCTTAAGAACTAGAATAGCAAGAAAAACCATACCAAAAATTAGTAGAAGAGAAGAAATAATAAAGATCAGAGCAGAAATAAATGACAGTGAAATGGAGAAAACAAAATAAAAGATCAACAAAAAAGCTAGTTTTTTGAAAAGATAAACCAAATTGACTAAATTTTAGCCAGACTAAGGAAAAAAGAGACAAGACTCAAATAAATAAAATCAGAGATGAAAAAGGTGACATTACAACTGATACCACAGAAATCTAATGGATAATTAGTGGCTACTATCAGCAACTATAGGCCAATAAATTGGTGTTTTGATAGAGACTGATTGATTGCATTGAATCTGTAGATTGCTTTGTGTAATAGGTACAGTCTCTTCAATAAATGGTGCTGGGAAAACTGGATATTCATATGCAAAAGAATGAAACTTGACCCTTGTCTCTAACCATATACAAAAAGCAAATCAAAATGAATTGAAAACTTAAACCTGGGGCCTCAAACTATGAAACTACTGAAAGAAAACATGGAGGAAACTCTCCAGGACATTGGGTTGGCAAAGATTTCTTGAGTAATACCACACAGGCACTGGAAACCAAAGCAAAAATGAACAAACGGGGTCACATCAAGTTAAAAAGCTTCTGCACAGTAAAGGAGACAAGCAACAACATGAAGAGCCGACAACATGAAGAGCCAACCCACAGATATTTGCAAACTCCCCATCTGACAAGGAATTAATAATCAGAATGTATAAGGAGTTCAAACAACTCTCTAGGAAAAAATCTAATAATCCAATTTAAAAATGGGCAAAAGATCTGAATAAACATTTCTCAAAAAAAGACATATATATGGCAAACAGGTATATGAAAATGTGCTCATCATAACTGATCATCAGAGAAATGCAAATCAAAACTACAATGAGATATCATCTCACCCCAGTTAAAATGGCTTTTATCCAAAAGTCTGGCAAGAACAAATGTTGGAGAGGTTGTGGAGCAAAAGGAACCCTTGTACACTATTGCTGGGAATGTAAGTTAGTACAATCACTATGAAAAAGAGTTTAGACATTCCTCAAAAAAACAAAAATAGAGCTACCATACAATCCAGCAAGCCCATTGCTAGGTATATCACCAAAAGAAAAGAAATACATATATCAAAGAAAATCTACACTCCCATGTTTATTGCAAGACTAAGTCACAATAGTGACTTGGAAGCAACCTAAGTGTCAATCAACAGGTGAATGGATAAAGAAAATGTGGCATACATACACAGTGGAGTACTATTCAGCCATAAAAAAGAATGTGATCCAGTCATTTACAACAACAAGGATAGAACTGGAGGTCATTATGTTAAGGGAAAAAAGCCAGGCACAGAAAGACAAACATAACACGTTCTCACTGATTTGTGGGAACTACAAATTAAAACAATTGGATTCATGGAGATAGAGAGTAGAAGGTGGTTACCAGAGGCTGGCAAGAGTAATGAGGCTTGGTGGGAGGTGGGAGGGAGCAGGACTGGTTAATGTGTACAAAAACTTGTTAGAAAGAATAAATAAGACCTAGTATTTGATAGTACAACAGGGTGACTATAGTCAATAATAATTAATTTGTACATTTAAAAGTAACAAAAATATTATAATTGGATTGTTTGCAACACAAAGGATAAACACTTGAGGTGATGGATACCCCATTTTTACTCATGTGATTACTACACATTTCATGCTTGTATCAGAATATCTCATGTACCCACAAAAAATTAAAAAAGAAAAAAAAGAAACCGTAAAGGAACAAGCTCTATGCTAAGTTCTGAGAAACAATTCTCACTTTCCAGAATCCCTCTGCCTCTACCGTAAGAGCACTAATGTGGAAGGCCGAAAATTTGAATGCTGTTGCTGCTCCTGAGTATAAAACCACTTTATGGGCTGGTCGCAGTGGCTCACGCCTGTAATCCCAGCACTTTGGGAGGCCGAGGAGGGCAGATCACCTGAGGTCGGGAGTTCAAGACCAGCCTGACCAACATGGAGAAACCCCATCTCTACTAAAAATACAAACTTATGCCAGGCATAGTGGTGCACACCTGTAATCCCAGCTACTCAGGAGGCTGACGCAGGAGAATCGCTTGAACCCGGAGGAAGAGTTTGCGGTGAGCTGAGATCACGCCATTGCACTCCAGCCTTGGCAACAGGAGCGAAACTCCTTCTAAAACAAACAAACAAACAAACAAACAACAAAAAAAAAACACTTTACTTGTGTCATGATCTAAGACAGTAAAATATAAGAATGCTTTATTTACCACCCTCTCGACATGACTCAGGTCATAATGTTTTTGGAGATTGTATCTGATTGATTGATTCATTCATTAATTTGTCCCATCTTACAATACCTACCATGTACTTTATTACTATTCAAGGTGTTAGATATACAGCAGTGAACAAAACAAATTCCTTCTTTGTAGAGGCAGGCAATAAACAAATTTTACTATGTAAAATTCTTTATGTAGTAGGCCATGTGGTAATAAATGATTTTAAGAAAATTAGGATAAGGGGGAAAGCAGTGTTAGAAAAGGACAAATTATTATTCTATATACCTCTATCAAACAAAACCTCAATGATGTATGGTAATTATGGTAACATTTGAGAAGAAACCTGAAAGAAGCAAGGAAGCAAGCCATAAAGATATCTGGGAAAATAATATTTTAGGAAGAAAAAAGAATGCTTTTAAAGTCTCTAAGGCAGGAATGCGCTTGGTATGTTCAAGAATCAGCAAATAAGTCCAGTGGAGGAGGGGCAAAGTCAACAAAAGAGTGAGTGGAAGATTATGAGGTTAGAGTGGTCCTGAGTAGTCTGGATTGGGTGGTGCTTTTTAAATCATTCTAAGAACTTCAGCTGCCTTTCTGCATGAAATACAAAAACATTAAGAGGCTCCAAGGGAAATAGTGACAGATTTGACTGACATTTTGAATAATTTCATTCTAACTGCTCTTTGGAAAATAAACTATTTGGGTCAGCAAAGAAATAGAAAAATGAGTAAAGAGGCTATAGTAATCCAGTCAAGAAGTTACGATTCATTGGACCAGGATAGTGACAACAAAAGTAGAAAGTTGCAGTTTCTGAATGTATTTTGAAGATGGAGCCTATAGGGTTTGTTGTCAGATGTAAGAGAAAGTTATAACTCAAGAATGATATCAATACTTTTAGCCTGACAAACTAAAAAGATAAAATTGTCACTAACTGAGATGATGAAGACGGAAAGTAGAGCATGTTTAGAGTAAAGGAAATATTGAGAGCTCCATTTTTAACATGTTAAATTTAAGAAACATAACAGACATCCAGTAGAAATGTTAAGTTGGTGGTTGGATGTATATTTGGAGTTCATGGTGAAGTTGGTGGTTGGATGTATATTTGGAGTTCATGGGAGATGGCAAGTCTGGAGATATAAATTTGGAATTTATCAACATTCACAAAATTTTTAAAGCTGTGAACTAGATAATACCACCTAGGAGTGAGTCAAGACAGAGAGGGGAGGAGACCCAAGAACTGAGCCCTTAGATACTCTAAGGTTTAGCATTATGGGAATAGAGGAGAATCTAGCAAATGAGACTAAGAAAAACACCAAGAGTAATACTCTAAATGCTAAGTAAAGAACAAGTTTCAAGAGAAAGTGGTATACTGATGACAAGTCAAATAAAACAAGAACAGTAAATTGACCATTAGATATAGCTGTGTTGAAATTATTGGTGATTTTGACAACTTAGGAGAATTATGAGGATGGAAGGTTGATTAGAGTAGATAAAAGAGAAAATGAAAGTAAAGGAAATAGTAGACAATAAATATAGTCACCACGTTCAAGGCGCTATAGCTGAAAAAGATGTGGGTCAAATGAGTTCTTAAAATAAGAGATATAGAATGTGTATATTCTGATTTAATGATTAGTATAGAGTGAAAATTTGGTGATGCCAGACAGAAATCAAAAAAAAAGTAAAGGAGATATTTGAGAAGTCAAAAGGTCACAGAAAACAAGTGAAATTAATTTAATCTAGCAGGAGACAAGTATATGGTGATAGTTTGAAAAATCTTTCTTGATTGCCTATATTTTCTCAGTGAACTAAGGGTGAGGATGCGGGGTGGGGGATGGAGGAAAGTCATTTTTGAGGCTTGAGAAAAGAAAGCATGTTCTATTCCATCTAGGTTATAGTGAATAAAATGGTGAAATGCAGAATTTCAAGGCAGCACAGAGTGCAGGTAGGGTCATGAATTTAAGTAAGAGTAGTCAGCATTGTTGTTTGATTTTCTACAATCATTTTTTACTACTCAAGTGCTGGCAAAGTTTAAAGAGTGTTGGATTTAATTGGCATTAGCACTTTTCCAAGTGAGTATGAAAGAGGAATACAGAAGCCGAGACAGTGGAAGTCATAAGCAAAAGTGTGCTTAGAATTAAATTCCAGGAAAATAGAACAGGGTTCAAAGCTCTCCCAGTTCATTTTGTGCTGCCCTAGAACTTCAGGTCAAAACCCGACAAAAATATTTTTAAATGCATACATCCTAAATTTAAAAATAGCAAATAAATGGGTATGCATAGGAAAAAAAGGAAAAATAAAATTTAAAAACATAGCAAATAAAATTCAGGAATGTATCAGGAAAAATCAGATACCCTATCTACATAATCCATTACATTCAGCATAAATTGGGGTTACATACAAATTCCCCATTAAGAGACATCTCCACAGCACACTGCAAGATGGAATTGTTAAAATACTAATCTGATTGTTGAGGATTGTCGTTCATTTGTTTTTTGTTTGTTTTTGAGATGGAGTCTCACTCTCTCGCCCAGGCTGGAGTGCAATGGCACGATCTCGGCTCACTGTAACCTCTGCCTCCCTGGTTCAAGCAATTCTCCCTGCCTCAGCCTCCTGAGTAGCTGGGATTACAGGCACCCACCACCACGCCTGGCTAATTTTTATATTTTTTGTAGAGACGGGGTTTCACCATGTTGGCCAGGCTGGTCTTGAACCCCTGACCTCAAATGATCTGCCCACCTCGGCCTAGTGCTGGGATTCCAGACATGAGTCACCGCGCCCGGTCTTTGTTTTATAGTTTTATCACTCTAGAAACTGGAAACCCAAAATGTTTTTTACTGTTACTAGTTGTCTGGTTCTACTTTTGTGTGAAGTATCAAAAATATTTGTCCCAAGATTAGAGAACGGACAAATGGTTTGACTCTTCAACTTCATTTGCAACATGTGCATTCACTGTGCAAAGACAGTCCTCCTCCACACTCTGCTTCTGAGCTGTTTGGGGACCACTCATGCTTCAATGTGAATTGAATCATCAGGGGACCAAACCCTGGTTATTCACTTAATGAACACTGGTGTTTCTTTATCATCTGCTTTTCTTTCTTGGGCTTTTTGCTCCCGATTTCCTTTCTACAAACATAGTGTTTTTATGACCATATGAAATGAAACTGCATTTTTAATCTAATAAGTTGCTTAATTTTAAAAATTGGCTGCTTATGTAAGCATTCTCTTCCCCAAATATATGGCCCTCCAGTTTCCATGCCCTCTCAGACCTGGCACCAGGCACTCTTTTCAGATTCCCTTGCTAAAAAGCTAATAAACTTTGACGTGTGCTCAACAACAACAACAAAAAAAAAGTGTGCTTAGAAAGATGAACTGTGCAATAATCACAGGAAATCGATAGTATCATTGGATTTTGTCTTAGTCATAGAAGATTCCTGCAGTGGGATAATAGAAGCAGTGTGCTAAAAAGATAAGAAGTTGGAAGTTCCCTGGAACTGTGAACCCAAACATATTGAAAAGATTATCTACATGGATATTGAAATCATTTGAGTTACAAAATATGATGTGTTAGAAGGAATGACAAGAAAGCCAGGAGCTGAAACCATCAAGCAATGTCAGGATTGACTCCAGGATCTGAGAGTGGCTACAAGAAGAGATGATGGATAATATATTTTGGATAATGCAATTATAAAACTGAAATTGAAAAGCTTCAAATGAGTCTGCAAAAAATAATTTTAAGCTTTCTAGTCTTTGTACACCAGAAAGGGTTTAGAACAAATGTTAGTAGGTGAGTCCAAGTGTCCACCACAAATCCCATTAAATTATATGCAGAGTTCTGTGTATACACATATTTAGGGTTTTTTAGAGGATGTAGGTTTATAGGTTTATTTATACTTTGCATTATTCCATGATTTGGGAAGTTTTTATAAACATTTATAAATGTTAAATTTAATTAATTATTTATTGGGTGCATATTTGCCACTGTGTTTGGAATTGAGAACCAAAGTTGTGTAAAACAGAATCTTTATCAAAAGATTTCTTAGACTCTGGTTCTCATGGAGTAGGCATGAGGATAATTGTGAGTGGAAAAGTCATGTTACAAGGTTAATTTGGATAAATGCTAGTTGGAGCAGAAGGAACATGCTATAGAATTATAATTGAAAAAGTCATTCATTATAGCAAGATTATTCAAGAAGCCTTTATGGGAACAGTAACCTTGAATTGGACCTTAAAGAAAAGGCTTCTATAAATAAAGAGAAGAAGAATTCAAGCTCAAGAAATGGTATTTAAAAGTCATAGAAGCCTAGGATTTCCTTCTACCCTCCAGGATGACAATGAACATAATAAGACTGAATTTTAGAATTCCTTGAAAGGATGCAGGAGAAGATGAGTTTCTTATTTTACCATTTCAGGAAAGGTTTGGAATACTACATAAGGGCACAGAGACTTCTGTAGACAACAGGAAACCACTGAATATTACTTGAGACCACAAGTGACATGTGATATGATCCAACCTGTGATTTAAGGGGGGAAATTCCAACAGCAGTGCATAAGATGAATTAAAAAATCAGGAGATTAGAGGTAGGGAGATTGTCATATGACTCATGATATAATATGGATTTAAAATTGTGAGGTTTAAATTAATATGACAGTAGTGAGCTTTTGACGAAAGGATACACACATTTAAAAAGCCATAAGATAGAATCTATAGTACCTAGCTACTGATAAACTAGCTTGGGTGGAGGGAGGGTAAAAGGTTGAAGAAAAGAGAAAAAAATAATGATTAGCATTTCTAGTTTTTTGAGGCTTGGTCACTGGTAATGCCATTACCAGAGAAGAGACTCAGTATGAAAGATAATTTCAGTGGATGCTAAGAGTTAAAGTGTTCAATCTTAGTACATTTCAATCTTTAAAAATATTTAATCTTAGTATATGTCTCTATGTTAGCAGGAAATTTAGGTTTGGAATTCAGGAGTGAGGAATAGAAATACAAATTACATGGTTCTATACAAGTTTTAGGATTGTTTTTTCCTATTTCTGTGAAGAATATTATTGGTATTTGAATATGAATTGCATTGAATCTGTAGATAGCTTTGGGTAGTATGACATTTTAACAATATTCATTCTTCCAGTCCATGAACACAAGATATCTTTCCATTTATTTGTATCCTCTTTAATTTTTTTCATCATTGATTTTTGGTTTGCAGTGTAGAGATCTTTCACTCCCTTGGTTAAATTTATTCCTTGATTCTTATTTGCTTTTTGTTAGCTGTTGTAAATGGAATAGTTTTCTTGATTTTTTTTTTTTTTGGATAGTTTACTATTAGTGTATAGAAACGCTACCAAATTTTGTCTGTTGATTTTGTATCCTGCAACTATATGGAATTTCTTTATTAGTTCTAAAAGTATTTGGTGGAGTCTTTAGGGTTTTCCATATATAAGATCATGTTGTCTGCAAACAGGAACAATTTGAATTTGTGTGGAACTACGAAAAAAATCCCAAATAGCCAAAGCAATATTGAGGAAAAAAATAGCTGGAGTCATCACACTCCCTGACTTCAAAATATGCTACAAAGCTATAGTAATTAAAACAGCATGGCATTGGCATAAAAACAGGCACATAAACGAATGGAACAGAAAAGAGATCCCCAAAATAAATTCATGCATCTATAGACAACTGATTTTCAACAAAGATGCTAAAAACTCACATTAGGGAAAGGACAGTCTCTTTAATAAATGGTGCTAGAAAACTGCATGTCAACATGAAGAAGAATGAAACTGGACCCCTATCTCTTACCATATACAAAATTCAACTTGAAATGGATTTAAGATGCAAGTGTAAGACCCAAAATATGAAACTTCTAAAATAAAACATAGGGAAAATGTTTCATGACATTGGTCTAGGCAAGGATTTTTTAATGAGACCTCAAAAGCAAAGACAAAAAAGCAAAACTAGACAACTAGGATTACATCAAACTAAAAACCTATACACAGAAAAGGAAACAACAGAGTAAAGCGGCAACTTACGGAATGGGAGAAAATATTCACAAACTGTACATCTGACAAAGGGTTAACATCCAGAATATATAAGAAATTCAAACAACTCAATAGCAAATAAATAAATAAATAAGTAATTTTATTAAGAGATGAGCAAAAGATCTCAACAGATATTTATCAAAAGAAATACAAATTACCAATAGATATATTTTTAAATGCTCAACATCACTAATGGTCAGGAAAATTCAAAAAAAAAACCACAATGAGATATCATCTCATGCCAGTTAAAGTGGTTATTATCAAAAAGATAAAAGAGAACAAATATTGCCAAGGATGTGAAGAAAAGAAAATTCCTACACACTGTTTGTGGGATTGTAAATTAATACAACCATTATGGAAAACAGTATGGAGGTACTTCAAAAAATTAAAGCTGGAACTACCATATGATCCAGCAATCTCACCACTTGATATATATATATATAATATATATATATATAATATATATATAATTTATATATATAATTTATATATATAATATATATTTTATATAAAATATATATAATATGTATTATATATAATATATATTTTATATAAAATATATATAATATGTATTATATATAATATATATATAATTTATATATAAAAGTATATTTTATATATAAATATATATAATATGTATTTTATATATATATAATATATTACAAAAAAATCAGTATGCCAAGGAGATATCTGCACTTTCATATTTATTGTACCACTACTAACAATCGCCAAGATAGGGAGGCATCCTAAATGTTCAAAATGGATGAATGGATCAAGAAAATATGGTATATTTACACAATGGAATACTATTCAGCCATAAAAAAAACAATGAAACCTTGCCATTTGATGAACCTCAAGGACATTATGTGAAATGAAATCAGCCAGACACAGACAGACAAATACTACATGTTCTTACTCATATGTAGAATCTAAAAAAGTTGATTTCATGGAAGTAGAGAATTGAACAGAGGACACAAGGGACTGAGAAGGGGAGGAGGAAAGGAGTGAGGGGGACAGGTTGGTGAATGGGCACAAAATTACAATTAGAAAGGAAGAATAAATTCTGGTGTCCTGTTGTGTCATAGGCGACTGTGTTCAACAATGAAGTAGTGTGTATCTCAAAACAGCTGGAAGAGATGATGTTGAATGTCCTCACCACAAAGAAATGATAAATGTTTGAGGTGATGGATATGCTAATTACTTTGATTTCATCATTACACAATGTATGCATGTATTGGAACATCACATTGTACCCCATAAATGTGTCTAATTATTACATGTCAGTTAAAAATAAGTCTTTGAAAGTGAAAAAAAGAAATACAGATTTTGAAGTCTTTAGTTTTGAAGTGATAGTAAAGCTATTTATTTCATTGGATAATTTAGTTGTGATAGAAAATGTAAAACAGAGAGAATTAATACAGTACCTCGGAGCTTAATAACAAGAATAGTATTAATAAAAATACTTTCCACCCAGGCTGAAGTTGACCCAGCGCTACACAAACAGATGATTTCCTTTGTTTACAGGCCAGTGGCTGTTTTCACTGGTTGGTACATCTGCCCCGATTTACAGTGCCTGTTACACACAGTTGGTTAGATATTTATCTCCAGCTACCATGGACTGAAAATCATTATATTTAAGAAAGATCCAGTAGAAATGCCTGAGGATGAACAATCAGTTAAATGATAGGAGAGCGTTTTAAGAAGGCATCAAACATATATCCTGATTAGGGATTACTGGTAACAATAAAAGCAGTTGTAGTAGACAGGTGAAGGCATCAACATCAGATTGCCTCACCATGTGCATGAGTGTGTTTATGGTGGAATTGAGACAGAAGATTAGAATAGTATTTTCACAAGTCGATTGAGGAAAACAAAAAAAGACATGCTCAGTATTTTCTTGGTTATAAGCTTTTTTAAAAAACCATACTCAAATGATCTTTTACAACAACAGCAACAAGAAATGGAGCTGGAAGAGTACAGAACAGTAACTGAACATACCCAGCCTGTAAACACACTTCTAGCAAGGCTGGATGCAAGGTCTTCATGATGTAATCAGGTTCCAGTTTCTCCTTTCCTATTGTTCCTAGGGTTATATCCTAATTGGGTTTCATGAAAGAGAGGAACTACTTTCTCAAAATTCCTAGCAATTTTTTTAACTTCAGGTCCTTGAGCTTGAGTCAAGCATACCTTTCAGTTCATGACACACCGACATTGGCCCTTTCAAGACTCCTTGCTTTAAGTATTATGTGTGTATTTATCTATATATTTTCTATCATATGTACCAATACCGTTTGTATACCTGTTTATTGTATTGTATTTTTGCAAAATACATACTATTTGTATAACTGTGTTTTAATTTACATAGTTTATTATATATCCTACTGTTTTGCTAAGCACTATGTTTTTAAGTTCCAATTATGTTACTATCGAACATCTATTTACTCTATTTGCTGTGTAACACCCCACAGTATGCATCCATCATATTTTTCCTCTCTCTCTCAATGACAGTCAGGCTGCCTCCAACTCTGCTTGCCACAAACAACTTATTTTTTATAAATATCATGGGCACTACACTGCAGCAGGCACTGTTTTGTGTACCTGGGACACATCAGTAAATAAAACAGATATTACTGCAGTAAACATCATGACACTTGGCCCCTTGTGGATCTGTGAGAAAATTTCCCTAGTATGTATACTTAGGAGCACAAACTAGCAAAATACTTAATGTTTCAGATTTAATTTGGTCATATGCCCTGTCCATGTACCAATTACTGTGTCCAGGAGACATGACAGGCTAATTAGCTTGGCTAAAAATGCTCACTCCAGAGGCAGTGGGTGGGGATGTTGTGGATTGTAGCTCACTTAAAGCAAATGAGGATGGGAGCATCTCACAGAAGGAAGTAGGGGAAAGTAGATGGTGAATGAATGCTGAATAGCAAATACAATTGATGTCTTCTTTGGAGGGGAAGGCAATTTTGTAGGAAAGCCCCCACCATCCTTAGGCCCAAAAGATTTGAATGCCTTATAATGAGAAAAACTATTCTGATATATACAAACCAAAACAAAGCAACAGAGTTTCTGATTCAGTACTCCTGGAGAGCACCAAGGTCTTGCATTTCTATCAAACTCTCAGGTAATATTGATGTTGCTGGTGTGGAAGCCACATTTCAAGGACCACTTTTCTATTCTAAAGTTTAGAAGATACTAAACATCATAATCCACCAGTGCTGTGAGGATCAAAGGAAATAGTATGTATTACAGTGCTTGGTAATCCTAAACATCCAACTTTAGAAATGTTGGTTATTACTATTTCCTTTGTTATGTGACCCTTTAGATAAGATTACACTAATCTTTGATGAGATTTCAAGAAAAAAATGTAATGAAAGAATGAGCGATAAGCCTGATGAGTCAAAATTTAAACGGCAGTTCTTTCACAAATTTCCCAGTGAGCTTTTTGGTGGACTTGTGTTGATTTTCGCTAGAATCCCCAGAAAGACTCTGTAATCATTTATTTAATTTACTCACAGGGTGAGGTCAGAAAACTCACTCCTTGAAATATAACCTAATAAAATCAATATAAATGGATAGGCTCAGCCATCTATAAGATAGTATGTGAAAGGGATTTAATGAGACTAACAAGACTTTTGCAAAATGATCAAGTCATTCTTGAGTGTAATAAAAACATGGAGTTCCTCAATCAAATTATGGTGACCAGAATACATTCTCAAGGCTACAATTTAACCATGGGAGGAGGAATCTGAGTTGTTATCTGCTTAATATAATGATGAGTTAAAAGTAGGGAGGTGGTCTGCATGAAGAACACAAAAACAAACAATTGGGCAATAATAATTTATTGATGTATATCTAGCACTGTCCAGATATGTGTCTTATCTGGTGGACATAAAACATTACAGAGGAGTAGTTTAATAAACAACAAAAAGAATTCATTAAGGTTAACCTTAGTTTACAGCAAATAGCTGGTAAGACAACGAATAAGTGATTCTGTTAAATTCCGCTAAATCCTGGTGTAGTGTGATGGATCCCCAACCAGGCTACCTAAGGGTGTATGCCCATTGCCTAAACCCTGAAGCCTGAGTGATGAGCCAGGGCCATGGTGCCCAGATGAGGAGCAGGTGTCCCTGAGAACCCACACATCCCAGAGTATCTGAGAACCTACCAAAGTGAATAGCCTAATCGCTCAAACATGTAGGCAAAGAGCCAGAAAATTAGCTTAAAACCAGTTTGGACACAGGAGGTAGTGCTGAACTCTAGAGCTGTCCTGCTGCCATCCAGAAGTGCCCTGTATGCAGGTCCTAATCAACTCATCTACTCATCAAAATGAATTTGTCCGATTTATTCTTTGGTTTCTCAGTTCCTTCACAGTTACGAGGGCTGTTACAGTCTCAACGTTTTCTCATAGCGTCTGGTTATTTCTTTGGCCTTCTGGATGCCCTGAGATAGAAAAGGTGGTACCCTGAATCCGAAGTACTGAGTTTCTCTATCCCACATTACCAAAAATCTAAATATCATTTCCCCCCTTTCCTTTTCTTCCATTCAGCTAGAAGCTGGATCTCTATTACATTGAGTCAGAGAAGTATGTGGTAACTTCTAACCTTTTAAAAAATACTTTAAGGGTTGTGAAAGAAATAAAGAAAAAAGGAATTCTTTAAAATAAAAAATACGTCTCAGAGAAACAAGAGATAGAGAGGGACTTAGCCTATTTCATTGCTCCTAGAAACAAATGCTTCTGGGCTATGGTCTCTGAAGTACACATCCTCTCACATATTGACAATCTGGTTAATGAAAGTGCATTTCCAAGAACGTATTCAATTTGGAGTTGCTAACAAGTTTGTTTCTGGGACTGCAAAACTAAGGGTCCACACCTCCTGCCCTGATGAGGTTACACCAGATTTGTTACCACCATGGGTATCCCTGACTTAACTCCCTGACTTTTTCCTTTAGTGTTTATTAGTGCAACAGGTTAGTGTATTTTTTTAATGTTTACTATATTTGAGCTATATTTACTATATTTACTGCACCTTCCAAATTGTTGAGCAAAATATATGTGCATTTTCAAAAGCATAAATATTATACATATGATTGTGAATCTCTGGTTACAAGTAAAGTTATTCTACCATAAGTGAATATGTTAATGATACTAATTCAAAACATCCATCATAATGCATTTTATATGATGTAGTAATATGCAAAAAAGAATAATAAACCACATCCAATTTCTTAAACATTAATTATGAGGCATTACTAGGCAAATCATCATGATAAATGTCTGAATTTGGGGGCCATCTAGTTAAGCACTTAATTCTTGAGAAATATGTTAGTGTCAAACATAGCTCCATAATTAATTATAAGACTTCCACAATGTCAGAGAACTTAGATTTATTTTGTTTGGCTCCAGAGAGCAGAGTAAGGACCACCAAATGAAATTATAAGGAGTATTTTTTTATTAATATTATTATTATTATTAGAAAGACAATTCTAAGAAAAAGAACTGTTAAAAAACTAAATGGACTTATGTGAAACTGAAAATCTTCAAGCAATGATTGTATGATTACTTCTTGGTAATATTAAGGGTGTCTGGATATCACATAAGAAGTAAAGTGATATCCAAGATCCCATGACATTCAGAATCTACGTTTGTAAAAACAGGGTCTGAAGGGTTTCTAGTAGTTTGACTCCATTTAATGCTAAAATTCAAAAATCTAAATAAGCCCATAAAAATGTGCTCTGAATATAATTTTATTCTCATATTAATCCTTTTTCTTTCTTGTATTATCCCATAAGACTATGAGAAGCCCCAAGGCATGGCAAATACTTAGCTCATCTCTGTATTCACAGCGCAGTGCCTGGCATATTGTTGGCACTCAATTATTGCTGTTAAATGAAGGTTGGACAATATGTGGAGATATTAACATACATTTTTTCCTACATATATTTCCCTTCCTGCCCTTCAACTAGAATGAGTCTTCATTACATTGACTCTGAGGAGGTATGTGGTACATCTCAACTCTTAGAAAAATACTACAAGGATTGTGAAGGCAGTAATGAGGAAAGGGGGGATTTGGGGAAATTAAAAAAAATGTCTTGGAGAAGCAGGAGGTAGATGGGGGCTTAACCTGTCCCGTAGTCCTAGAAACAAATTCTCCTGGGCTATGGTTCTCTGGAAGTCAGAAACAGGGCCTGTCCCCTAGTAGTGTAACTAGCAGGCAGAGTCAGGAAGCATGCAGTGACATCCTGGGAGCAGGTAAACAGATAGGCCCATGGGCTTATTCTGTCTTTCTTCCTTGATTCTCTGAGCTCTAGCCACCTTGGCCTTCTTTATGTTTCTCAGCAGGTCTATGATCCTTCCTATCTAAGGGATATCACATAGGCTGTTCACTTGGACTGAGATCCTCACATTTTTTTGCTCCTCTCTCCTCTGGAAGTAGGAGTAGCCAAGAGTCTCTTGACCTGAAAGAGTAGGCAGACAGGAACAATATCTCATGCAGACCAGAACAACTGACATTGAGTAACCCTCAGGGTGGACCAGAGACCAAGAGCCAGAGGCAACGCATAAGGCCTCAGAAAACATGGTCCAAACCTGGAGAAGAGAAAGAGGCATAGGAGGAACTGAGGTTAACATTTTCTGGTGGCCCATTAAATAACAAAGTCAGAAATTAAATGGTAATAGAAAATAAAGGGATTCCTCTTTTATGCCCAAGTTATAGTCTGAGATTTATGCCAACCACCAGTGGATGAAAAGATACTATCAAATTAGATAAGAAGATATTGAAAATTGCAAGGCTTATATTCATTCAGTGTCTAATGTTCCTACTGGGCATTTGTGCTAATTTTTTTAACTCACTGACTGAAGCTCCACAATGTCACAGTCTTTGCTTATGAATTCTGTTTTAGTTAGTGATAGCACAATCGAAACCACACTGTGAGAAAGTTTATAAGCATTTGGTTGATGTTGTGTGGCCTCCCTCCCTCTCCACCTTCCCATAATAAAATATAAAGTTTTTTTAAAAAATGAAAAGACATCCAGTCAGTTTAGCAGGCAGTGGACTACTGTTTAATCTTTCTTGAAGAATGAATGCCAAGTTTCTGTCTTGAATATGTAGTATTAAAAAGGTTTCTCAATCCTCCAGTGAATACTTGTTTAAATGTTCTTTAAGCTGAAATTTTCTCAGTATTTGACTTAAATACTCCCCGACTGCAGCACATGACCATTATATCCTATTCCTTTCCCCTTGTCAGGAAGAAATAATGGCTCCCTGGCTTCTGTTTAATATCTCCTTATGTCATTATATACCATGGTTTTATCTTCCCTCTCTCATTGTGAGTAGGTCGACATTGCTCACATCCCTTAACCTTGACTTCTCGCTCTCAACCTTTTCTGCTGTGTAGCGTGTGAACTCTCCCACTGTCTTTCATTTTCACCTCAAGTGTACATCTATCTCAGCAAGCTGTGGCTGCTGGGATCTTACTGGAGATTAAAACTGAAGGAGACCTATTAATCCCAAGGTGGCACTTCTGAATTTTAAAATCAATTTGAAATGATCAGCTTTATCAAGTGCTTTCATGAGGTTTCCAGAGCTGTATGAATTAAAAGCATCCTGCTTCACAGCATGACAGAAAGTCCCTGTTGAACTTGAAGATTGCTGAGGACTGTGAAATACTTGACTGCTTTGATCATGTCACTCTTTGCGCAAAGGTTTTTTTTCCTTACCTAAAAAATAAAGTCAAAAGTCGCTTGGGACTGAAGGTCCTGTATCTTAGTCTGTTCCTGCTGCTAAAACAAAATACCTTAGAATGGGTAATTTATAAACAACAGAAATTTATTTCTCACAGTTATGGGGGCTGGGAAGTCCAAGATCAAGGCACCAACAGATTCATTGTCTGGTGAGGGTCAATTCCTCATAGACAGTGTCTTCTATGTGTCCTCACATGGTAGGAGGGCACAGTGGGTTCCATAAACCTCTTTCATAGGATGAAGGACATGAGGACGGAGCCCTCATGACCTAATCACCTCCCAAAGTCCCCACCTTTTAATATTATTGCATTGATATTAGTTTTCAATATATGAATTTTGAGGGGACAGATACATTCAGGTCATAGCAACCAGGCTCCAAGATTTTTCTCCAGTTTTACAATATATTACTTCTTGTACAGAAGCCTTTATTCCATTTCACTGCACTAATCAGTATAGGTTCATTCCAGGTTATATTTATACGTTCATATTTAGGACATAATTTACTCAGCACATTAGTTGTATTTTATCTAGTGTCATATAAGCCCATGTGCTGAATTGTTATATTTATTATTCCTTTAGTAAAATCACACATCTTGAGGATAAAACGTACTTCCATTGCTTTGTTATTTAAAAATGATCATTTTGAAGGTAGTTTTGGTGATTTTAAAACTGGTACAAAGAAGGGATAAAACATCTTATTCCAATATGCATATTTTTAGCCCAAATGATCAGATCTATTTCATATAAGTATCTCTTACTCTTCTGATTAATGCTATTATGGTCAGTATATCACAGGTGAATTTCCTGAGGGTACACTGTAGACAAGGGAAATGAAAGATGAAAGTGAGGGCCACTATGAAGAGAGTAGAAAGGAGCATAGTTTCTTCATTCTACCAATCCATTTACATTTCTATTCTTGTGAGGGTCTTTTTTAAGGGTCACTCGAGACCTATGAGTGAGGTTGACTCTACATTAAAATGCCATTAATAATATCAAATAGCAAGACCTACTTAATATCAGCTCCCCTAGCAAAGAAAATGCCTCAAAGGGTACATATTTCAATGAGCCAATATATTTCACACTAATTCAGGACAATTGTGCCCATTCAGGAGTTAATCCAAATGTACAGGGGCCAGAAAATTCAGCCTTATGTAAAATCACAACATGGGCCATTTGGGACAAGCATTTGATTTGGATTTTTGTGCAAGGTAGGAAACGAGAGGAAAAATTTCGGCACTTTGGAGATTTAATTCTTGTGTTGGATAAAGGTCAGAAACCTCAGTGGAAAATCATGGAAAATGCCTAGAAAGTTTCTAGCCTTACATTAGCACAAAATGGGATCAATGTATTTCAGTCCTAGTCAGAGTTGTCACAGAGTTTCTTTAAAGGTTTAAATTTTTATTTTAAACTACTTTGTCTTACTAACTGTCTCAGTAGATTTAAAAGTTGTTATTAAGAAATCATTAGGGCTATGCTTCACATTTTAAACAAATTTTATTTAAAGATAGCTAAGATGTCACATTTGGTTACAGCTGAATGAATAATAATTGAGGTATAAAAATTTTAAAAATCATTTTTAGATAATCACCCTACTGAATTATATCAATCTTATGATTCTATAGTTCTTAAAGCAATTAATTGCTTTTTTTCAAATAAATTGTATTGTGTGTATTTGAGGTTTACAACATGAAGTCAGAGGATACATATAAATAGTAAAATGGTTACTATAGTGAAAGAGTAACATAACTATAGTTTCACATAATTACTTTTTTGGTGACAAGAGTAGATGAAGTCTACTTATTTAACAAAAATCCTCAATAAATTATAATTTTATTAATTGTGGTCCTCATGTTGTACATTAGATCTCTACATTGTTAATCTTATATGTATGCTATTCTGTATCCTTTCACCTACATTAAAAGCAATTAATTTTCCTGTTTTGCCAAAGAATGTCAAACACATCTAGTGAAACATCTAAGAACTGAAAATTGTATTAACAGATTTTGTTTTCAAGCAGTGAATGCTAGATATTCTTAGCCATTTTAAATTGTCACTAAATTTACACAGACTGTCAGAGGCTAGAACTGAAGATACTATTTGGCTACCCTTCAGATTTTTGGAACTTTTTACAATCGTCTTGGCAAACTTAGGGAAGACAATAATTACAATACATATTACAAATGTATCACAAAGGAAGAAATACTTCCTCATTAACATGCTTTTTCAATATCTGTTTTCTGTAGGTTTCAAATATTCTTCTTTTTTTTTTTTTGAGATGGAGTCTCGCTCTGTCGCCCACGCTGGAGCACAGTGGTGCGATCTCAGCTCACTGCAAGCTCCACCTCCCGGGTTCAGGCCATTCTCCTGCCTCAGCCTCCTGAGTGCCTGGGACTACAGACGCCCGCCACCAAGCCTTGCTAATGTTTTTTGTATTTTTAGTAGAGACGGTGTTTCACTGTGTTAGCCAGGATGGTCTCGATCTCCTGACCTCGTGATCCACCGCTTTGGCCTCCCAAAGTGCTGGGATTACAGGCGTGAGCCACCGTGCCTGGCCGATTTCAAATATCCTTGCAAAGAAAATCATTTATCCTGAAGTTGCAAGTAACTTAAAATATTACATATATAATATATACAATATACATTATATATATATCTCATATATATGTCACACATATACCATTGCCATAAGTAAAATGTAAGCTATAAATTTAGAGTTAAAACATCACAAACCAAGTGTATTACTATTTTTTTTCAAATGGAAAGGAAGACAATATGAAGACTGATACAGAACACTAAGAACTGCCTTAAAATATATATATATATATATGGATATAAAAAGGATGGGCACTTCTAGCAGTTTGTATTTAAATTACTGACTTTTAGGAAAAGTGTATTTTCAGGTAAAATGAGATGTAAAAGTGCACTTGAAATGTCTACCTATCTTTAATATTTCTTTGAGCCTTTTAAAATAGAAAAATTGTTAAGGACATAAATATCTACATTACTACTAGTTTCATTTTTTATTCCTTGGCATTTCTCATCCTGCAGAATATTTCCCTTGTATAGAGATCTGATATGGTTTGGCTGTGTCCCCACTCATATCTCATCTTGAATTGTAGTTCCCATAATCCCCACATGTTTTGGGAGGTACTCAGTGGGAGGTAATTGAAATCATGGGGGTGGTTTCCCCCATGCTATTTTCATGACAGTAAGTTCTTACAAGATTTGGTGGTTTTATAAGGAGCCTCCCCCTTTGTTTGGCTGTCATTATTCTCCCTTCTACTGCCTTGTAAAGAAGGACATGTTTGTTTCCCCTTCTGCCTTGTTTGTAAGTTTCCTGAGGATTCCCTAGTCCTCTGGAATTGTGAGTCAATTAAACCTGTTTCTTTTATAAATTACCCACTCTCAGGTATATCCTTATAGCAGTGTGAGAATGAACTAATACAGTAAATTGGTACCAGAAGTGGGGTGTTGCTGTAAAGATACCCAAAAATGTGGAAGCAACTTTGGAACTGGGTAACAGGCAGAGGTTGGAAGTGTGGAGGGCTCAGAAGATAGAAAAATGCAGGAAAGTTTGGAACTTCCTAGAGACTCCTTGAATGGTTTTGACCAAAATGCTGATAGTGATATGGACAATAAGGTCCACGCTGTGGTGGTCTCAGGTGAAGATTAGGAACTTGTTGGCAACTGAAATAAAGGTGATTCTTATTATGCTTAAGCAAAGAGACTGGTGGCATTTTGCCCCTTCCCTAGAGATCTGTGGAATTTTGAACTTGAGAGAGATGATTTAGGGCATCTGGTGGGGAAGGAAAAAAAAAGTCTAAAAGGCACAGCATTCAAGAGGAAGCAGAGCATAAAAGTGGGGTTGGAGCCCCCACACAGAATCCCCACTGGAGCACTGCCTAGTGGAGCTGCAAGAAGAGGGCCACCATTCTCTCGTCCCTGGAATGTTAGTTCTACCGACAGCTTGCACTGTGCACTTGGAAAAGCTGCAGACACTCAATGTCCACCCATGAAAGCAGCTGGGAGGAGGGCTATACCTGCAAAGACACAGGGGCAGAGGTATCAAAGGCCCATAAGAACCCACCTATTGCATCAGTGTGACCTGGATATGAGACATGGAGTCAAAGGAGATTATTTTGAAGGTTTAAGATTTAAATACTGCCTCATTGGATTTCAAACTTGCATGGGGTCTGTAGCCCCTTTGTTTTGGCCAATTTCTCCCATTTGGAATTGATGTATTTACCCACTGTCTGTACCTCCACTGTATCTAGGAAGTAACTAACTTGCTTTTGATTTAACAGGCTCATAGGTGGAAGGGACTTGCCTTGTCCCAAAGGAGACTTTGGACTTGGACTTTTGAGTTAATGCTGGAATGAGTTTAGACTTTGGGAGACTGTTGGAAGGGCATGACTGTGTTTTGAAATGTGAGGACCTGAGATTTGGGAGGGACCAGGCAGAATGATATGATTTGGCTGTGTCCCCACTCAAATCTCATCTTAAATTGCAGTTCCCATAATCTGCACATGTCATGGGAGGGCCTCAATGGTAGGTAATTGAATCAAGGGGGCAGTTTTCCCTGTGCTATTCTTGTGATAGTAAGTTCTCACGAGATTTGATGGTTTTAAAAGGGGCTTCCCCCTTCACTCTGCTCTCATTCTTCTCCCTCCTGCTGCCTTGTGAAGAAGGACATGTTTGCTTCCCCTTCCACCGTGTTTGTAAGTTTCCTGAGGCCACCCCTCCCTATGGAACTGTGAGTCAATTACACCTCTTTCCCTGATAAATTACCCAGTCTCAGGTATGTCCTTATAGCAGCATGAGAATGGACTAGTACAAGATTTTTATGATGCATAAGTATAATAAAAAGAAGAAAGCTACACAAAGTGGGGAATAGAATAGGAAGCTATTCACAAGTATTAAGTAAAATAAATGAATAATGAATTAGCTATTTAATATTAACTTAGTGTCTCTTATTTAGAGCTGCACCAAACTTAGTAGATGTTAAAGATGTCAAATAGATTATTCCAGCCATCAAGGAGTTTGTTTATTCAATAATTATTTATTATTATGGTTTTGAATTGGCCATTGTCTAAATGCCACACACCATATGTAGCCTTTTAAGATGCAAGTCTAAAAGTCTATTCTCTGGAAGCTTAAGGCTTGGCAGAGAAACAAAAGAGTGAACGTGCCTGGGGCAGAAGTGAGCATTGTGAAACCCAGTGGCAGAGTTGCATCAGAATGTGAGTGCAGTGGAGTGAGGGAAGTGCAAGTCTCAGTTGGTGGACAGTAAAAGAAAGCTCCCTGAAGGGGTTGACACCTGGGCTGAGTTTGAAAGAGGGTGTCAGCCAGCCAATGAAGGTAGTGGGAGCACTCAGGCACAGAAGATACTATGTGCAAGGGGGCCAAAGTCAGAAAAAAATGAGATAAGGCTCAGAACTGGCAAATTGATATGTGTGGCTGGGCTTGAACATGAGAGGTAGGGAATGGCAAGAGATGAGATTTGTGCAACCATGTATTTATTCCTTCATTCAAAAAATATATATTGAGAAGTGACCATAGGTCGGCACTCTTGATAATGCTGGGGATACAGTGGTTAATTAGACATTCTCTGACTTAATGAAATTTAAAATACATCAGGTCGAAAAATGTTTTAATTACTCTGTCTATCATGGTTAACAGTTTCCAAAGTGCCTTCATATCTATTACCTTATTTCATCCTTTTATCAATCTCAAGGTTAAAAGAGGCATAGTCACTGTCTAATATTATAAACCAGTACGTGACCAACAGAGGCTTGAACTATGTTCTAACTTATATTACCAAACATTTTCACAACGCATCTGTCCTGTGGCTCTGTAGTTGCCTTTTTAGTTTGCCTCATACTTTTCTTGTTTTTTTATTTTTTTTCTCAAACTAACAGCTTCAATTACTCTAATAGAAAAAATATGTATTTTCTTTTTTTTTTTTCTAAAATAAATTGGAGTTTCGCTCTTGTTGCCCAGGCTAGAGTGCAATGGTACAATCTCGGCTCAATGCAACCTCCACCTCCTGGTTTCAAGTGATTCCCCTGCCTCAGCCTCCCAATTGGCTGGGATTACCGGCACGCACCACCACACCCAGCTAATTTTGTATTTTTAGTAGAGACAGGGTTTCTCCATGTTGGTCAGGCTGGTCTCAAACTCCCGACCTCAAGTGATCTGCCCACCTCAGCCTCCCAAAGTGCTGGGATTACAGGCGTGAGCCACTGCGCCCAGCCCAAAGATAAGTATTTTCTTTTTCTTTCTTTTTTTTTTTGGAGAGTCTCACTCTGTCACCCAAGCTGGAGTGCAGTGACATGATCTCAGTTCACTGCAACCTCCATCTCCTGGGTCCAAGCGATTCTTCTGCCTCAGCCTCCCAAGTAGCTGGGACTACAGGTGCACGCCACCACGCCCGGCTAATTTTTGTATTTTTAGTAGAGACAGGGTATCACCATATTGGCCAGGCTGGTCTCAAACTCCTGACCTGATCTTCCACCTGCCTCGGCCTCCCAAAGTGCTGGGATTACAGACATGAGCCACCACACCCAGCCAAAGATATGTATGTTCAAAAATAAGTCATTAACAACTTTTGCAAAGGAATCAGTAACAATGAAGGCCATAAAACACAACTTATCTGTGGCCTCCTCACTGCCTTAATAAAAGAGGTTTCGTTAAATGCTTTTCAGCTCTATGAACATGTAAAAATCCATGTGTGACTACAGATGGTAGCCTGGGCTCAGAGGTACCTGTTGTTTGAGTTTCTGTAGAAATAGAGAAGCTTGCCATTTAAAAAAATACTCATGTACATGGGTATTTGGAAATCAAACAATGAGAAGATTCTTAATATGTGAGTTTTCCTCTTAGAGGGGATAAGTTGTGTTTTTGCATCTGTGAATGGCAACCATTGTAATGAACCATAAAATATAAATTCTCAAGTCCGTCAGATAAAAATTATACCTGAATTTAAGACATATTTCTAATGTTTACATAATAAATTTCATTTTTTACAGATATTTTTGCAGTCAGTGTGTGTGTTTGATTAAATAATGTTTAACCAATTTCTAACATAGTTTTCTTCTTTAGAACATTTTTTGAATAATTAATAAAATTTTTAGTTACATTCACTGCAGCCTCTAACTCCTGGGATCAAGTGATCCTCTTGCCTCAGCCTCTCAAGTAGCTGGGACTATATGTGTGTGCCACCACACCCAGCTAACTTTTTAATTATTTTTATTTATTTTATTTGATTTTTTGCAGTTTCACTATTTTTCCCAGTCTAATTGGACCCTTAAGAGAGTCACAAAATGACATTATTTTCTAGCAATTTCTCACTTAATTACTAATCACACCCAACGTATAACCAAGACTGGTCTTAAATAGAGGATAGAGAAAAAGAATACTGTATGCTGACATATGAATTTATATAGAGGGCAGTAATAAACTCCAAGGGACAGTATTTTGGGAAATAAAAATCACAGAAAGGTGGTGTCAGGCTGAGGGACATTGAAATGGGGGTCCAGGCCCCTTTGTTCTGATCGTGACTGTCAGTATATGGTAGTAGACAGGAGAGACTTGGCTTCCAGCTCCACTTTGTCACTTAAAATCTATATAACAGGTAGTCAGAAGCTCTCAGTCAAGATAGAGTAACAGGGACTAGATTGAGTCTCCTACCTGAAACAATCATTAAAACCAGACAAAACATGTGAAGTAAATGTTCTTCAAGACACTGACATCAGGCTACAAAAGACAGAAGTTGAACAAGGTAAGCCCTACTTTTGCCCTGCTATAGGCAGTAAGACAACAAGGGAAATAAAGTTGAATCAAAATAAAATTCCAGGGCATGCATGTCAATGTACAGTGATAGAGCACAGATCAGTGACTGCCTGGGGATATGTGTGTTGAGAGAGGGGATTGCAGGAAGGAGGGGTTAGACACATGCCGGAACTTTGGAGGGTGATGGATAAGTTCAATACCTTGATTGTGTTGGTGGTTTACAGATGTATACACATGTCAAAATGTATCAGATTGCACATTTTGAATATGTGCACCTTATTGTCTGTCACTTTAATAAAGCTGTTTTTAAAATCTAGATGCCTCTGGGCAAGTTACTAAACCTTGACTTTACAAATCTGTAAAATGGTAATAACAACCTATCAACTTTAGAAGTCTATTGCTTGGATTAAACGAGGTATTTGTGTGTTTAAGAGGCTTAACACATTACTTAGCACATTAGAAGGGCTTGGTGAATCTCCAGACTTCTTTGCAGAGGACCAAATGGTATCTATTATCCTTCCTTCTACCCCCCCACTGACAGTGGATAGCACAGTGTACATAACCATGAACTTTTATCATGCCCTATAAAACAAGTCATCACTATGGCACTTCTGTGAGTTTGTTGGCAATAAATCAATCTTCCGGCATTGCTGGGCTGTCTAAATGCTTGGCTACAGTAAATTAAGTCTTATGTGCTGTTCCTGCCCTGTTGCCTGTCTGTGGGAGCCAAACTTCTATTATGCCAAGATTTCTGTTGGACAAAGTGACAGGAGCAGGATGGAGTGGGAGAAAGCTGCAACTGGAATAACTCTGACAGGAATTTTGATATTCTAAAACTGAAGTGAAAGAATTCACAATTCACGAAAGACTCGAGTTTCAAGGCTATCTTTACCTAGCTAGTGCGTATTTTGGTGATACTAGAAGACACACCTTTGTGACAGACTGTTGTGGACTGAATTATGTCCCCCCAAAATGTATATGTTGAAGTCCTAACACTAGTACCTCAGAATGTAACCATATTTGGGAATAGGGTTTTTCAAGGAGTAATTAAATTAAAATAAGACCATTCGAGTGAACCACAGTCCAATATGACTTGTATCCTTATAAAACGAGGAAATTTGAACACAGACAAGTACAGAGGAAAGACACTGTGAAGACACAGAAGACAGCCATCTGCAAGCCACGAGGAAAGGCCTCAGAGGCAGGGGGAAAAAAAAACCTGCCATCACCTTTATCTGAGACTTCTAGTCCCTAGGACCATGAGAAAATTCACTTCGGTTGGTTAAGCCACCAGTGCGTTACACCTTGCTACAGCAGCCCTAGCAAACTAATACACAGACTATCTTTATTGTTCTTAAAAACTAACATTGTCTCTCTCCTAGTACTGCTACTGGTCGGTCTTCGTTCTTAGAGCTCCCAAGATGGTGGCAGGCCACTCCCGAGATGGTGGCAGGCCGCTCCCGAGATGGCAGCAAGACTTTTATTCTTTGACCTGGGGTTCTTGGCCTCACGGATTCCAAGGAATGTAATCTTGGGCCATGCGGTGAGTGTTACAGCTCTATTAGAAGCCGTGGGTCATGAAAGAGAACCGTGGAACCCAGCGACTAGTGTTCAGCTCAATTAGGATGAACCCGGGCACTTAGCCATGCAGGAACAATGGCGAGCCTCTAGCCTGATCCAGAGCGGCAATGGGCAACTCACTGGATCAGAAGTGCAGCAGACACCCTGCCGGATCTGGAAGGGTGGAAGTCAGTGGCAGGTCTGCTACGGCAGCGATCGGCAGTGGTTGACGGCGAGCAAAAGCTCACCTGGAAGTGGAACAAACACGGACCAGAAGAGTGCGCAGTTGCAAGATTTAATAGAGTGAAAACAGAGCTCCTATACAATGGGAGGGGACCCGAAGTGGGTTGCCACTGCCAGCTCGAATGCCTGGGTTTATATCCGGATAATTGTCCCTCCCTCTGTGCTCTCAGGTGATAGATGATTGACTATTTCTTTACCTCCTGCTTTTAGCCTAATTTATATTTTAGTGAGCTCTCTTTACTCCCTGATTAGTCGGGTGTGAGCTGAGTTACAAGCTCCATGTTTAAAGGTGGATGCGGTCACCTTCCCCAGCTAGGCTTAGGAATTCTTAGTCAGCCTAGGAAATCCAGCTAGTCCTGTCTCTCAGTAGTGCCTACCATCTCCTCTTAAGCCCAGTGAACTAATTATTTTGCTTTGGAGTACTCAATGTATCTAAATATATTATTATGTAGGCATACACTGCCCTGAAAATTTCTCAATCTACTGTCTGTGTCTTCGTGTTTGTGATTTTTCCATTGCTAATGCTTTTCTGGCTTTGCCTGCTGCTAATTGTTTTTCTTGGAAGTGTTATGCGTTCTTTGGCCTGGTACCATGCTCACATTAGGAGCATGGAGTTTTCAGGAATCTTCTTCCTCTTTTCCTACAAGTAATCATTCTGGCTTACACACTGAAATGTGCTCCTCCCACACATTAAACTTACGATGTTAAATTTGTGGAGCAGTAATATACAAATCTTCCTTGAATAGCATCAAGCAGGTTGAAAAATGAGTATATGAATTGCCTTTTTTTGAAAATTAAATATTTTATCTGTTGTTTTAATTAATAATTTGAAGTTATATTTTAGTATCAGTTTTGGTACCCAAACTTAATAAAAGTAATAATTCAAAAGAATTGAAGTGGTGGAGTCTTTCTGCTAGGTATTTTAAGTCTTCTCAAACAGCTATAACTTTGAGGAGTCTGTGAAAGAAAGGAAAAAGAGAAACAGAAGGGTTTTAAAGGAGTAGGGAGAAAAAGAGAGTCAAGTCAGTGGTAAAAACCAGTTGCTTTTCCCTTTGTAGTTATGTTCTCTACCTACAGTATGTTTATACCAAAATGTTTGATGTTTTGTCTGCTGCATATTGTTAGTATATTAGTAACAGTATATTAGGAACAGGGACTACTGCTTACACTAATGATTCTCAAGCCATGGTTCTTAAATCTTCTGCATCAGAGTTACCTAACATGTTGGGTGAAAAGGCAAATCCTAGGCCCATTCCAGATTTCCTGAATCAGAATCTTGAAGGTATGGCCCAGGAATCTGTATTTTTATCATTCTTTCAAAATCTTTTTGCTTGTTTTTTTCAGTCTGGGGACAAGTTTTTAAAATTCTGTGACAACAGGGAAGAGTGATTGTTATAACATTCCCCAACTAAAGAGAAAAATGACTAAATAGGTGGAGAAAAAGGAAAGTGGTAGCGCATAGAGTGGTAGCAACAAATAGTGGTATTTGTTGGTATTCTGTCATTGTTATTGTAGACAAAGAAAGCAGTGTGAAGCTGGAAATAATTTCTCATTACAAATAAGATAACTACTTCAGAAATATATTGTTAATAGTTCAAAGTAGTCAAGAGAGCAATATTGTTATTGAGCTCAATATGTCTAATTATAATTGAGTTTTATGATATTTAACAGTGATCTTTGATAATATTTTAGGCTATGATATAGAGATGGATTTTTTCCCTCGTAAGTCAAAAATTAGAATACATTAATTGTAGAAAATGCTTTGAACAAATAAATATGTGAGTTTTCTGTTTTCCCAGAAAAAGGAGAGCTTTATCGGTTGGGATTTTACAAATTACAAGGACATTTTCAGGAACAACAACAAGTTAGCAGCTAATTACTGTCTCCTCTCAAAAGTAATAGGTTAGGGTTATCACTGATAAATCATCATGTACTATGCAGACAGGTATGAACAGCTGCTCTGATTTTCTGACTCCAGTGTTCAATCTGCAAAAGTCACTATTAGAATTACTGCTTACCGGTTCTTATAACAACTATGACATATCCAATATCATGTAATAAAAAGTTTCTTTATTCATTATCTAACTTGTTCTTTAGGAATCTAAGCTTCAATCCATCATGTGTTTCCTGATCCAAGTTACTATCCTGGCAAGTCTTTGGGCTCATACCTCATTTGCCAGTTTCTTTATCCATAAAAGAGGGTTGGAGGCATTCCTACCTGCTAAAAGACTACACTGATGTCAATTAACTGTCTGAATTTCTAAATGCCTCCTCTTTCTGGACTCTCTATGGCTATGTCCCCCAAGACGTTCAATAAAACCTTATTCTTCTGTATTGGACCCTTTGATGCTTTCTGCCAGCTTCAACTACCAACTTTCGACAGATTTCTGTACTAGTCAGCGTTCTTCATAGAAACAACCAATAGGATGTGTATATGTATATAAAGAAATACAGATTTATTACAAAGAATTGGCTCCCATGATTTTGGAGGCTGGCAATTCCAGAATCTGCAGTGTGGGCCAGTAGGCTAGAGGTGCAAGAAAGCCAAAGGTGCACTTCCAGGCAGTTGGCTGAAGAAATTCCTTCTGCTTGTTCTATTTAGTCCTTCAATTGATTGAATGAGGCCCACCCACACTATGGAGGACAGTCTTCTGTTTAAATGTTAATCTTATGCAAAAACATCCTCAATGTTGACACATAAAACACCCTCAATGTTGACACACCATCCCATTGTCCCATGCCCTGTGCCCCAGCCACCTTATTCTGCCCACTTAACTGGATTTTATCTCCCAGTCATATCATGGGTTAATTCCCACTTCCGGTGTCTATCTCATATTCCAGGAAGGTTGAAGAACAGCTCCTAACTACTCCCACTCTAATCTTTCTGCTCTAGGAAACCAAGTATGCCAGGTTATGTGACACCTGAAGGATGGTAAATGATTAGTTTTTTGCATTAATGAATAAGTGACATAAGTGGCATTACAAAAGATGAAGTTCTATGTATGTATATGTGTGTGTGTGTAAACCCTTTTTTATTTATTTAAAATATACAACTCTCTGAATCTGATTTAGCAAAAGAATAAAGCCCAATTTCTCTAGAAGCACAGAGAATGGAGAAATTTAGTCTGGCTTTGGGATATGGAGTAAATGATAGAATGACTGGGTAAACCGGTGGTTCCTAACCAAGGGAGATTTTTTTCCCCTAGTTGTTATTTGGTAATGTCTGGATACATTTTTGATAGTCACAACAGGGGGTTACTACTTAAGAATGCATAGATAGCTGCCCACAGTGACAAATTATCTCAATTAGACAGGCATGGTGGTGTGCATTTGTAGTCCCAGTTAACTCACGAAGCTGAGGCAGGAAGATCACTTAAGCTCAGAAGTTCAAGGCTGCAGTGAGCTACAATCATGCCACTGCATTCCAGCCCGGGTGACAGTCAGATCCTGTCTCTAAAAATAAATAAGCAAACAAAGAAAAACCAAATCATTTCCGGCTCCAAATGTCAATAGTGCAGAGGTTAAAAAAACAATACCTGGAGAGAAAAGAATAATATTTGAGCTGGGCCTTTAAGAATATTCCAGTCAAGAATGGGTGCGGTGGCTCACGCCTGTAAACCCAACACTTAGGGAGGCCGAGGTGGGCAGATCACGAGGTCAAGAGATGGAGACCATCCTGGCCAACACAGTGAAACCCCATCTCTACTAAAAATACAAAAATTAGCCGGGCATGGTGGTGTGCCTGTAGTCCCAGCTACTTGGGAGGCTGAGGCAGGAGAATCACTGGAACCCAGGAGGCAATAGTTGCAGTAAGCCGAGATCGCACCAATGCACTTCAGCCTGACGACAGAGACTACGTCTCAAAAAAAAAAAAAAAAAAAAAAGAATATTCCAGTCAAAAATGTCAAGGAAGAGTCAAACTTTGTAAAATATTTGAAGACATTTATTCTGAGCCAAATATGAGTGACCATGGCCCATGACACAGCCCTCAGGAGGTCCTGAGAACATGTGCCCAAGGTGGTCAGGGCGCAGCTTGGTTTTATATATTTTAGGGAGGCATGAGACATCAATCAAATACATTGGTTTGGTTCAGAAAGGCAGGACAACTAGAAGCGGTGGTGGGGCTTCCAGGTCATAGGTAAATTTAAACATTTCTGGTTGACATTGGTTGAGTTCATCTGAAGACCTGGAATGATAGAAGACTTGGGAAATATTCAGGTTAAGACAAAAGATTGTGGAGACCAAGGTCTTATAGTGGCTGCCCTTAGAGACAATAGATGACAAATGTTTTCTATTCAGATCTTTAAAAGGTGCTAGACTCCTAGTTAATCTCTTTAGAAGTGGAAGGACCTGAAAAAAAAAAGATCTCTATATTAATAGAGATTCTTTACAGATGCAAATTTTCCCCCACAAAGGATAGCTTTGCAGGGCCATTTCAAGATATGGCAAAGAAACATGTTTTGAGGTAAAATATTTTTATTTTCTTCCTTGTCTGGTATGTTATGACAGAGTCAGGTTGGAAAGTAAATCACGATATATGGGGTTACATAAAACCCATCTGATGATAATTTATGGTTTGTAGGACATGACTCCTCAAACCTCTTAGACAGGAATTTGGGCAAGATAAAAAAAAAATGGCAGGGCGCGGTGGCTCATGCCTGTATTCCCAGCACTTTGGGAAGACGAGGCGGGCAGATCATGAGGTGAGGAGATCGAGACCATCCTGGCTAACACGGTGAAACCCCGTCTCTACTAAAAATACAAAAAAAATTAGCCAGGCTTGCTGGCTCCTGTAGTCCCAGCTACTCAGGAGGCTGAGGCAGGAGAATGGCCTGAACCCGGGAGGCGGAGCTTGCCATGAGCTGAGATCGCGCCACTGCACTCCAGCCTGGGCGACAAAGCGAAACTCCCTCTCGAAAAAATAAATAATAAAAATAAATAAATAAGAATTTAGTCCTCAAAAGAAGTGCCATAAACAGATGAAGGGATAACAAAATATAGAGATAATTTAGGTAACTATGGTCAAATTTATAAGCGGAGAGGAAATGGAATATGGTAAGTTCAGATAGGTGGGTTGTTAGGGTTTAGATCAGTGCTTCTGAAACTTTAGCAGGTATGAATCACCTGAAGATGTGTTAAAACACAGATCAATGGGCTCCACTCTCTGACATTTTTATTTGGTAGGCCTGGAATGAGGTATAAGAATTTGCATTTCTAACAATTCCCCAAGTGTTGCTGACACCACTGGTCTGTGACGTACATTTTTAGAGTCAGAGATGCCTGAAATGATGTTAGGAATTCCATTTCTAGACAAGAAGAAGTCCATTAATCAAAAGAATTATTTAGGAAGATTACTCAAAAGGCAACATATTGGACACATCGTCTTTGGGAGAAAATTAGTGCAGAGAAACAACCCGACTGAAGGTCATACCCTGAATGACGGAACCACTGGAATCCCCTGCATTGATGACTTGGGAAGTCTGGAAGACCTGGGGCAATGTGTCCATATGCATAATTCTCTCTGGACCCCAGCTGTGTAATTATGGTTTGCCTGGAGTTTAGTCTTAGCTAGTTATGCACGATCTTTGATTCTTTGTAACGAATCCCCTGGGATAAACCCTAAGCTGACAGCTTTCAGACAGGCTGCTTGGGCTGCAATTAATGAGTGGGATTGAGGTCATGAGAGCTAGGTGACAGGGCAAAGAGAAGCTCCCTCAGATAGCCAAATCACTTGAAATTCTATTTTTTTCTGGGCCAACAAAAGAGCAGGAGATATTGCCTCCACTCCTGCCTCATCCCATTTCCAAATTATGCTTAAGGGGCTTGGATAAATCCATATATCAGAAAGCCTTTTTGCAATAATGCAATTTTGCAATAACATAAGATTGGAAGGGTGTGTCAGAAAAGCTATTTTTAAATCAAACATGATATCTAGGAATTCTAGTAATCACAGTGACTCGGTTTGAACTGATTAGACTACTTTTCTAAACCGAAATTTATCTTCCTGGATGAAAAGTATTACTTGTTTATCTGTGATGCTTGATACTACCAGCCCTAGGGCTTGGGAGGCAAAAAAAAAAAAAAAAAAAATGTTCCTTCTAAGTAACTCATCCAACCCTCCTGAGGATAAGGAGCCCTTATCAACAAGCTGAAGTCTTGCAAATGCACAAGCTGGAGGCTACTTCCTCCACAGAGGAACTCTTCTGCCTCAGGGCTTCTAAACACAAACAGGAACTAGAAGAAAAAAAGAGAGAGAGAGAGAAAAGCGGAAGGTACCTTATACATTTTTGTTTCATTTTTCCTTTCCAAGCTTTCCATACTGTTTTCAATAAAGGAACTGCATCTCGCTCTGTCGCCCAGGCTGGAGTGCAGTGGCATGATCTCGGCTCACGGCAACCACCGCCTCCCGGGTTCAAGCGATTCTCCTGACTCAGCCTCCCAAGTAACTGGAATTACAGGCGCCCGCCACCACGCCCAACTAATTTTTGTATTTTTAGTAGAGACTGGGTTTCACCATATTGGCTAGGCTGGTCTCAAACTCCTGACCTTTGATTTACCCGCCTCGGCCTCCCAAAGTACTGGGATTACAGGCGTGAGTCACCGCGCCCAGCCGGAACTGCATACTCTTAACTGATGGTGAGACCAGCATCTTCTGACCACAACGCTGCCTTACTCTAATCATGTTTTGGTTTGCTTTTTCCATTCAGAAATCCTATGATCTGTAACCCTTCTCTGACATGCTTTTCGCCTCACCCCAAGCTGCTACAAAGGATTCATTTTTTTATACTCTGACAGCTACTGTAGATACATTAATAAATAGAATATTAACTTGATTTTTCTATAAAATACACATATTATTTTAAAGTCCTTACTGGAGACTTTAAGTGGGAAAAAAATGAAGGAACAAACAGAAGAAAGAAGGAAGGAAAGAAAGAAGGAAGAAAGCAAGGCAGGCAGGAAGGCAACTACAATTAAAACTATGTAACATAGCAAGATAGTGATTTGTCCAAAACTCTTCAGTGGTTCTGGAACTTTTCTGTGTGTAATAACACCTCAGATACTTGGTTTGGCTTCTACTTTTGGGGCCCCAACCCTAGACATTCTGACTCAGTAGGTCTGAAGTAGGTCTCCAAGGTCTACAATTACAACATTCTCCCCAGGTATTTCTGTGTTGCTAGGCAGGGGAAACTGCGTCCTTAAAGAACGCTCAGGGTGAACAGCCTGTGCCTTTTGTCAAGTTTTTTTGCCAGATGAGAGGAGGGAGAAATGATAAACAGCAGCTGCTTAGATTTGAAAGTCTGGGGAAATAAGCACAGGTGGTAGGAGATTTACCAACCTTCTCCTGAGGTTCCTAGCACCAATATGCCCATCTGCTGTGGGCTTCCCTCACCCAGGCAGGCACTTTCTTAGTCCCCAGCTGTCAGACTGCTTTCTCAGACTCCTCCTCACTTCCTTATGCAAAAGCCTTTTGTTATATGGACTGAATTGTGTTCCCTCAAAACTCATATATTGAAGCCCTACTCCAACGTGACTGTATTTGAGATACAGTAAAGAAGTATTATAGGTTAAGTGAGTTCACAAAGGTGGGGAGTTAATCCCATAGGACTGGCATCTTTATAAGAAGAGCAAGAGATGCTCCTGGAGAGCACACAGGAAAGGCTACGTGAGGATGCACAGCAAGATGGTGGCCTTCTGCAACCCAAGGAGAAGGCCCCACCGGAAACCAGCCCTGCTGGCACCCTGATCTTGGACTTCTAGCCTCCAGCACTCTGAGAAAATAATTTCCTGTTACTTAAGCCACTCAGTCTGTGGTATTTTGTTATGGTAGTTCAAGTAGATTAATACACCTTTCTTCAAAGCTTATTTAGGTATTCCTCAGCCAAGAAACCCTCCTTCTGGGCACAAAAACCTGAACAACCACTTCATTCTCAAGTTTCAAGGGAGTTCAGGTCCCAGAAAAGCTGTGAAATTCAATTTAAAAACCCCAAGGAACTTGGGGCTGGGGATAGGGAGGTGCTCAAAGGTATTATAAATTTTCTTTCAGCCACAGCATGTACGATAAACAGGAATTTTGTGTTTTGTTTTCTAATTTCATTGCCGTTATTCCACTGTTTCCACAATGGATCTGAGGTTATGAAATGGCTAAGAATTAATCATGCAGTTCCTCTAGGCCATTGTAATGATGCCTCTACTTTGAGTCACATGAAAAGTCTTTGGACGGAAGAAAGCAGAAGAGCCACATAACTTATGTTTTAAAATACTCACTGGATGACTACGTGAAGAATGGTCTGTAGCAGTCAAGAATGGAAGCAGAGAGGCCAGCTAAAAGGCTATTGCATTACTGATAGATGACAATGATTTAGACTAGGATGTGGATTGGTGTACGGAATTGGTTAGGTGCTAGATATTCAGCAGTTCCCTTTTATGTTCGGGGGATATGTTCCAAAACCCCAAGTGGATGCCTGAAACCACAAAGAATACTGGACCCTACACTATGGTTTTTCCTATACAGGTATATAGGTATATACCTATAAATTAGGCACAGTAAGCGATTAACAAAGACTAATAATGTAATAGAACAATTATAACAGGATACTATAATAAGAGTTATGTGAATTTGATCTCTCTCTCTCTCTTTCTCTCTTTCTCAATAGCTTATTGTATGCAGTATTTTCAAACTGGGTCCACCACAGGTAACTGAAACCACAGAAAGCAAAACTGCAGACAAGAGTGGACTACTGCATTTAAAAGGTAGAAACAACAATCTTTGCTAAATATTGGATGTGTTATGCCAGATAAATAGGAGGAATAAAGATATTAGAAATTTGGTGAATTTAGTAAGCCTATTTATTAGCTACTTTAATAAATGACTAGAAGCATCTATCTGTCTATAACAGTTTACAAATCAAAACATTAACAGAGGTCATCTCTAATGATACAACACAGGAAACATTTATATGCTATACTTTGCTTATTTCTAATAAAAATGTATCACAAATAATTTTTAAATGTTGTAGATGCATGAAAAATATTGTCTGTTTGGGTCGGGCATGGTGGCTCACGCCTGTAATCCCAGTACTTTGGGAGGCCGAGGCGGGAGGATCACCTGAGGTCAGGAGTTCGAGACCAGCCTGACCAACATGGAGAAACCCCATCTCTACTAAAATTACAAAAATTAGCCAGGCATAGTGGCACATGCCTGTAATCCCAGCTCCTCTGGAGGCTGAGGCAGGAGAATCGCTTAAACCTGGGAGGCAGAGGTTGTAGTGAGCTGAGATTGCACTCCAGCTTGGGCAACAAGAGTGAAACTCTGTCTCAAAAAAAAAAAAAAAATTGTCTGGTCATTTGAATTTTGTGAGATTCAAGATAACAACATCTCTATTGCAAGGAGAACTTTCTGACTTATGAGACTAAAGGAACAACCTAAAGATACTGATTCTATACCTTTATTTAATTTGAGGATAAAAGACACTAAAATAGTGCTATATGTTCAAATGTTTTAGTGGCATTAGTTTTTAAATTCTACAGAATTTGAGCTGGTGAATGAAATAACACCATGAAAAAAGAAAAATAGGAATACAGTCTGTAAATCTTTTTTGAAGAAGCTTTTCTTATGTAGTATTGCCTGCAGCAATTCTCTGGATCCTAGAGATAAGATCAAAAGCATGACTTACTCCCACTAGCAGAAGTGAATGCAGTTCACTTTGAAGTAAACTTTGAATCTGTCTTTGTGTTTTTATAAGTAATATATATTCACACACATCAATAATACTTGTATTAATGCACACCGGGTTTGTGGTGGCTTTATTAACATTAATGCAGAAGATAAAAAGATGTATGAATATCACATATAAAAGACTCCTATCTTTTATATATGCTATTCATATAACAGGTTTATCTTAGATTCATATAAAGGCTTTATTTTGAATACCACACCATATTTGCAGACTTTTTTTTCTCAAATCTCTATGTATATAGTTTCATAGAGAAAGTCTTGAATGACAGGAGTATTCTTGTTTTAAGAACTTCTCGCAAGTTATGCTATTAGTATTAATAAAGACTTCAGATTTAAAAAACAAAAGAAACTATAAAAATAGCTTGTAATAGTCCTACTATGAAACAAGAAAACTGCAAGACACCTTAAAGTCCCCTTGAATTATATTTCCCTTGAAGAAATAAAATATTAACCTTGGGAAGGTTATAGATCAGCAAAGCAATGAATACATGACAGGAAAAATTGAAAAGTCATGATTGGGAAGTAAGGTTAGGTTAAAATTTCCAAGGAAAGTTGTTTGCTGTGGAGCTGAAGGGATTATTATCTGAACAAATGCCACTCTTATATTTCTGAAAAGATCATGTAACACTAGATGCCAACATAAAATGCTAGAAAACCCACATGTGGTATCAGACTCCAAAAAAGAAAGGAAAGAGCCAAATTTCAAAGGAGATAAGATATGTTGACTCAAAAATATTAGCAGGTATCTTGAGGGTAATATAATCTAAAGTGAGTTTTCATTTTTTATTGATAATTCTTCCAGATCCTGATCAAAGTAAGCTTTTAGAAAGAAAGAAAAATCATGTCACAACAAAATGCTTTCTTAATATATAAAATAAATAAATGAAAATATTTGTCTAAATCTTTTAAATGTTTCCCTTATTTTTTTTCTTAATGGTGGGAACAGAGGATGAGGAAAATAAAAAGAAAACGTTGCTTGCAATAATTCATAATATGGTACTTTCAAAACTGACTTACCAAAATGACCACAGGTTGGGCTATAAAACAAATTTCAATTAACTTAAAAGGACTCAAGACATGCAAAACATATTATCTAAACACAATGGAATTAAATTAGAAACTGACAACAAAGAGATATCTGGAAGATCCTCCAAATATTTAAAAATGAAATAACACACTTCTAAACAACCAATGGACAAAGAATAAACTTAAAGGGAAATTAGAAAGCATGTGTTAACTAAGGAAAAATGAAAACAGGACATATAAAAACTGTGGAAGATAGCAAGAATAATAATTTTAGAAAAATGTATGTCAAACTCCTCATATTAGAAAACAGAAAGGTCATAAATCAATGGTCTTAGCTTCAATCTTAAAAATCTAGAAAAAGAAAAGCAAATGAAACCCAAAGTAAACAGAAAAAAGGAAGTGATCAAGATAAAATTGAGTTCAATAAACAGACCCACAAGAAAATGAGATCGATAAAATTTATAAATCTCTAACCAGGCTGTTCAAGAAATAAAGAGAAAATAAATTACCAATATCAGAAATAAAAGCAGTGATATCACTACAGATTTTACAGATATTAGAATATTAGAATGTATCTACAGATTGGAGTTTCATATTAGAAGAAAGACTAAAGAAATTGTACAAGCTAAATCAGGACAATAAATTTTAAAAGTTAGATTAAATGGACAAATTATTTGAAAGATACAAACTACCAAAGCTCAGTGAAGAAGAGAGAGATAAAGACTAAATAGCCTTCTATCTATTAAAAAAATTTAATTTGTAGTTCAAAACATTCTCACAAGGAAACCTCCTAGATTGCTTCACTGATAAATTCTATCAACTATTTAAGAAAGAAACAATACAAATCCTATACCAGTGTTTCCAGATACTTGAAGAGGCAATAATACTGTAATACTTACCAAGTTATGCATTGATTTCAGGATTATTCCAACAACAAATCCAGGCAAAGACATTTTAAAAAAAAGAAAACTGCAAACCAATGTTCCTAATAAACATAGATGCAAAATTTTTTAACAAAATGTTAACCAATCAAATTAAACAATATATGAAAAGGATAATAAATCATGACCAGTTTTATTCCAGGCATGCCAGGTTAGCTTAACACTCAAAAATCAATCAACATATTTCTTAATGCAAGCAAACAAAAAAAGAAAAAACATATGGTGACCTTAATACATGTAGAAAAAGCATTTGTCAGAATACTATGTTCTTTCAATTATGAAAAAAAAAACTCAACAAACTAGGTATAGAAGTAAGTTTTCTTGATTTGATAAAGGACAGCTACAAGAAACTTCTAGCTAACATAAATATCAAATTACTCGTGAAAGATTGAATCATTTCTCCCCTATGGTCAGAAATAAGAAAAGAATGACCACTCTCAACACAGTGAACATTGTACTTAAGGGAATTAGTCATTTCAATGTGCAAAAAACAAACAAACAAAAAAGGCATCTAGATTGGAAAGGAGGAAATAAAACTGTTGCACAAAGTGTAGAATTTAATGTAGATGATATTTTTAAAAGTTACTATAACTTATATGTAAGTTTAGCAACTGCAGGACACAAAAGCAATATACGAAAGTCAGTTGTATGTCTATACAATAGTAAAGAACAATTAGGAACAATTTACCATTTACAGAAACATTTAAAAACATGAAATAGTTGGGAATAAATCTAAAAAAAAAATACATGCAAGCCCTGTACATTAAAATCTACAAAACATTGCTGAAAGATATTTTAAAATATCTAAATAAATGGAAAGATACATTTGGTCCATGGATCAGAAGACTTAATATTGTTAAGATGCTAGTTCTCCTCCAACTGACCTATAATTACAACAAAATCCCAATCCAAATTACAACATGCTTTTTTTTAAAATAGAAATTTGGCAGCAAATTTTAAAATCCACAATGGAACTGTAAAGAAGCTAGTCTAGCCAAAACAACTTTGAAATAGAAAAACAACATGAGGCTGGGCACAGTGACTCATGCATGTAATCCCAGCACTTTGGGAGGCTGAGGCAGGTGGATCACTTGAGGTCAGGTGTTCAAGACCAGCCTGGTCAACATGGCAAAAACCCGTCTCTAGTAAAAATACAGAAATTAGCCAGGCATGGTGGCACACGCCTGTAATTCCAGCTACTTAGGAGGTTGAAGCACAAGAGTCACGTGAACCTGGGAGGCAGAGGTTGCAGTGAGCCAAGATTGTGCCATTGTATTCCAGCCTAGGTGACAGAGTAAGATTGTGTCTCAAAAAACAAAAAAAAAGAAAAAAAGAAAAGAAAAACAACATGAGAGGAATTACAAGAATTACTTCAAAGACTTTAAGACTTACCAAAAAGCTACAATAATCAAGACATGCTGGCATTGACTCAAAGATACATAGATAGATTCATGCAAAAGAATAAAGATTCCAGAAATATATCTGATATATATTGGATATGGTCTAGCTCTGTGTCCCCACCCAAATCTCATTTTGAATTGTAATCTCCATAATCCCCACTTGTGGAGGGAGGGACTGGGTGGGAGGTGATTGAATCACAGGGGTGGCTCCTCCATGCTGTTCTCTTGATAGTGAGTTCTCATGAGATCAAATGGTTTTGTAGGTGTTTGACAGTTCCTCCTTCACACACCCTCTTTCCTGCCTCCATGTGACGAAGGTCTTTGCTTCTGCTTTGCCTACCACCATGACTGTAAGTTTCCTGAGGCCTCCCTAGCCATGCGGAACTGTGAGTCAATTAAACTTCTTTCCTTTATAAATTACCCATTCTCGGGTATGTCTTTATAGCACTGTGAAAATGGACTGATACAATACTCAAACATATATGGACTACTAATTTTTGGAAAAGGTTCAAAGGCAATTCTGTGAAGAAAGGATGGTCTTTTCATCAAATAATGCTGGACCAATTTGATGTCCACATACCAAAAAATGATCATCAATCCTTAACTTTCAACATATTTACAAATTAACTCTACTATGTCATAAACCTAAATGTAAAACCTAAAATTATAAAGTATCCAAAACAAAACATAGAAGAACATTTTTTGATGTCGGCTAAGCAAAGGTTTATTACATATGTCACCAGAAGCATAATTCATGCAAAGAAAAATAAGTTACACTTCAACATTTAGAACTCCTTTATAAATATATTGTAGCAAATAAAAAGCCAAGCTACAGAGTAGGAAAAAATATTGGTAAATCACATATCTGATAAAGGACTTGTATATAGAACTTAGCAATAAAAACAACAAACACTGCTCCCCCCACCAAAAATAGGAAAACTATTTGAACAGACTCTTTACCAAAGAATGTACATGATGGCAAATAATAACATGAAAAGATGTTCAATATAATTAGATACTAGGGAAATCAGAATTAAAATAAAAATAAGGCAGCACTTATTACATTGTCTGTCATTTAAAAGATTGTCTATTCCAAGTGTTAGGAAGTAAACCAAATGGAATTCTATGCACTGCCAGTGGGAATGTAAAATGGAACAACCATTTTGCAACTAGTTTGGCCCTTTTTTGAAAGTTAAACAGACGTTCAGTTTCAGCTCCGATATGTATTGAGCTTAGAAGTCATCACTGTCATCTTTACAACAAAAGTTATGCTGCCACCTTGAAATCTGAGAAGACAGATGAGTAGATGGAGTCACAGATGAGATCTGCTTACCTGGATAAGAAGCTGCTAAAGCCATAGACTGGTAGAGACATATAACTTGTAATTTTGAGGACTTGCTGGAGGCTGAATATAGACTACAAAGAGTAAGAACATTCTGGCAGTTTGAATTTTTTTGTTACAGAAAACAAAAGACAAATAGGAAACTGTCTTAAAGAGGCCCCCACACTTTTATGGACTTTTCTTGCAGGGATCCCACCAGATTCTCATAGTGAAGATATGAGAAAGATCCCCTCTTGGCACCATTCAGGGGAAGGGAAGAACAGCCAGGTGAAGTTCATCCAAAGCCTTCTCCATAATAAAGGCCTGCTCTCCAAGGAAAATCATGCTACTTCACCACTGCACAACTCTGAACATTTGTCTGGCTAGGGGAAAGGAATTCCTATAAACTCCAGCCCCTATCAGCTTTATGAGATAGGACTTCGAAGTAGATTGGGAATGCTGCAGCCAGGGAGGTTAGTAGTGACAGGGGAAACAAAGCTGTACTGTTGGAGTAGGGAGAAACATACTCGTGAAGGCCACATTCCTAAGACTCAAGCCCAATAAAAGACTGAGACTTAATCAGAAGATTATAGAATGTCCTCTCTCCCCCACATCTGTAAGTCTGCATTATATGAAAGTGATGTACAGCTGCAAAGTTAAAAGAAACAAACTTTCTCTGAGGAGTAATACAAAAAGAAGGCCCAAATCCAAAAGGAGAGCTAAAAATAAGAGCCCTAGAAAAAGCTGAAGTCTCTAGTAGCTAGGCACAATAAACATTAAATACAGCTCAACTCCTAACCAGATTAACATAAATCCTCACTGAAAAGGCCTATTTACCTCTCTTCCTATTACCTGATACATGTCTAGTTTTCAACAAAAAATTACAGGTCATGTCAAGAGACAAAAACATTAAAAAGTATAGTCTGAAGAAATAAAGCAATCAACATAATCAGATTTAGATATGATACAGACGTTGGATTATCAGATAGGCAATTTAACATAACATAATAAATATGTTAGTGACTCTCTTGGGAAAAGTAGTCAACATGCAAGAATAGATGGGTAATGCTAGGAGAGAGGTGAACATTGTAAGAAAGGATCCAAAGAAAATGCTAGAATTCCAAAACAGTAAAAGAAAATTTAAAAATACCTTTGATGGGCTCATCAGTAGACTCAACATGGGCAAGGAAAGGATCCATAAACTCAAAGATAGGTGAGCTGAAATTTCACAGAGTGAAATGGAAAATGAGGAAAGAATGAAAAAAGTAATTAAAAATTATAGACCATCCAAGATCAGTGGGACAATATCAATTAATGTAACATATGTATAATTAGAATCCCAGAAGAAGAAAGAGAATGGTGCAGAAGAATATTTAAAATAATAATGGCCAAATATTTTCCAAAATTAATTAAAGTCAATAAACTACAGACCCAAGCATCTCAGAGAACTCAAAAAAACAACAAAACCATCCAGGCATTTTATATTCAAACTACAGAAAACAAAAGACAATTAGGAAAGCTTGGAAGTATGGCAGAGAAAACAAGTCATCTTAAATTTACAAAAAAAAAAAATTAAAAAAATTAGAATTATAGCTAAGTTCTCATCAGAATCCATGAAAGCAAGAAGAGAGGAGTGAATTATTTAGAAGTTTTGAAAAAAAAGTCTTCTTAGAATTTGATATTCAAGGTAAAGGAGAAAAAAAGACCTTCTCAGATAAATAAAATCTGAGGGAATTTATTCCCAGCTGACCTTCCCTATAGGAAATATTAAAAGAAGTTCTTTAGAAAGATGAAAAATGTAGTTTTGAAACTTGGATCTACATAAAGAAAAGAAAAGTCTTAGAGGAAGAGAAAGGTAAAATAAAATATTTTATTTTTCTTGTTCTTAAATGATCAAAAAATAACTTTGTTTAAAGCCATAATAGGAACAGTGTATTGGGTGATTGTAACATATGAATAGGATAAATAAATGGCAGCAATATCACAGGATCAGAAAGGAAGAATTGAAAATACTCTGTTACAAGCTACCTGCATTACCTGTGGAACCACAGAGTGATATTTGAAGATAGACTTAAATTTTCTAGAAATGTATATTGTAAACTCTTGGGCAATTACAAACAATTTTTTGAATAAAATATAAATAATATGCTGAGATGAGATATAAAGGAATCACATAAAATGTTAATTTGTCCAGGTGCAGTTGCTCACGCCTGTAATCTAAGCACTTTGGGAGGCCGAGGCAATGGATCACCTGAGGTCAGGAGATCGAGACCAGCCTGTCCAATAGGGCGAAACCCTATCTTTACTAAAAATACAAAAATTAGCCCGGTGTGATGGTGGGCACCTATAATCCCAGTTACTTGGGAAGCTGAGCCAGGAGAATCGCTTGAACCCGGGAGGCGGAGGTTGCAGTGAGCTGAGATCATACCACTGCACTCCAGCCTGGGCAACAGGGTGAGACTCTGTCTCAAAAAAGAAAAAAAGAAAGGAAAAGAAAAAATATGTTAATTTAAAAACCAGGAAAGGCAGAAAAAAGATTGGGGGAAAGATATAAGAAAAAATGAAAAAAAAAAAAAAGAAAAACAGTTCCAATGATACATTAATCCAATCATATCAATAATCACTTATATGTGAATGATCTATATACACCAAAAGAAATGGTCAATGTGGATAAAAAGTCAGGACCAAACTATGTGTATACCAGAAACCAACTTTAAACATATAGATTCAGATAGTTTAAAAGTTAAGAGGTGGTAATAAAAATACTATGTTAATACACTAACTGAAAGAAAGCTGAAGTAGCTATATTAATTTTAGACAAAGCAGACTTCAGAACAAGGACAATTATCGGGAATAAAGAAAGGTATTTACTACATGATGATCAATGTATCAATTACATGAGGCAAAAACTGGCAAATCCCAGTTCATGGACAGCCTACGAAATACCTGACCGTTATGTCTCAAAACTATCAGGGTCATGAAAAACAATGAAAGTCTGAGAAACTGTCATAGCCAAGAGGAGCCTAAGGAGGCATGATGACTAAATATAATGTGGTATCACACATGGGATCCTGGAAGAGAAAAAAGGCCATAAGTAAAAATTTTAAAAAATCTGAATAGAGGGTTTACTTAATAATATTATATAAATATTGGTTCATGAGTTGTATATTATATTAATGTAAGATGTTAATGATAAGGAAAGCCAGATGTGGACTATATATGAACTTTCTGTGCTGCCTTCACAATTTTTCTGTAAATTTAAAACTCTCCTAAAACAAAATGTTTATTTAAGAGAATCTTAAGCATACACCTACTATATGATCCAGCCATTCCACTCCCAGTTATTTTCCAAAAAGAAATGAAAGCATATGTCTATACAAAGACGTATATGCAAATGTCATACCAGGTCTATTTGTAATAGCTCCAAAGTGGGAACAATACAAGTGCTCATCAGCCAGCAAATGGATAAACAAATCGTGGTAAACTTATATACATGCAATGGAATACTTTTCAGGGATAAAAGGAATGAACTATTGCTTCAGGCAACATATATAAATCTTAAAATAATCCTGCTGACTGAAAGAAGCCATGCCAAAAGAATCATGCAGCATGATTCCATTTACTTAGAATTTTAGGAAATACAAATTAACTGTAGTGTCAGAAAGCAGACCTAAGGTTGCCTGAGGATAGGGACAGGGCAGTGAAAGTGAAATGAAGGGACTTGATAAAGCCTTTGGGGTGATGGATATGATCGTTGTCACAGTTGTGCTGGTTTCACAAGTATATGCATATGACGAATGTTATCAAATTCTACACTTTAAATATGGATAGCTTATTGTTTATTTAAATACTTCAATAAAGCTGTTAAGTTTACCTAATTATTTGATACTATTTTTAATAACAAGTTGAAATTGAAATCGAAATTTATAGTAAAGAATAATAATGTGTCATGGTAAAGAAATAATATTAGTAGGTTGGTTCCATTCATATGTCTTTGGAAAAATTCATCCTGATCAAGAGCACACCTCAGTATGTTAATATTTGGGGTTTTGTTTATTACTTGTTTGTATAAATTATTTGGTGATTTAAACATCTGAAGAGAACTTGATGCTTTTTTAAAAACAGAAATGTTCATGTAGTTTACTGAAAAAAATTGTATTTCCAGAATTAGGATTGTTGTTACTAATGCCTTAACAGAGTCAAAAATTTCCTTTAATTAACTAACTCCACAAGCATGTTTAAATGAACAGAAATTGACATATAAAGAGTGTCTCTCTTTTAAAAGTATTAACTGAAATAGAAGTTCTGAAACAATTTTATTTTAATGGAAGTACTCAAGATTTAATGCCAAGCCTTCTTGCAAAGTCAGGCAGAGAGCTGAGAACTCTCTGTTGAAAAGAAATACAGAATATTAAGGCTGTTTCACTATCTTTCCCAGAACATTAGCCTAATATAGCCCTGGTGCAATTCTGGATGGAGAATGGAAACAATATATTATGGGGGAATGCCTTGCATTAAATTATTTGCTATTCTTACTTTAAAAATCAGCCTCCTTACATAAAAAAGGTGAGAGAGTAAGATAAATGCTAAACTCATACAATAAAAACTATTACTATGGAGGACTTATGACAAAAAAATAAAAATAAAGCATTTTATAAGAGGAAACAGAAAGACAGAAAAGATAATTATAAACAAACTTTATGGTCCCAGAAACCTGAATGATGAAGCAAAAAAAGGAAATAATGAGCAAATAGAAAACCAGATTCTAATCCTGAGACACAACGTATCCAAACACTAATCTCTCTAGAACTTGAAGGGATAACACTCATTCCTAGAACAGTAATGAAAGTTTTCTTTGTTAAATAGGAATGGAATTGCTGCTGACAGAGGGAAGGGACCTTACCTTCTGGAAAAATACGGTTTTAATTTGGCTAAAATCCACGTCTGATAAATTCTCAAAGCACTTTGTGGGCAATTTTGTTCTTCACAAGATGGATGTTTTGAGTGACAAAAGGAACTCTAGGCCTAATTCAAACCAATCATGAGGAACTGTTCCATCTCTGACAGAAATAGAAACCACAGGAAAATGCAAAGTTGTTCACTTAAAAATAAGAGGAATACTGGGCATAGAATAGGTGCCTACTTTAGGGAAGCACTTTTCCAAAAGTTAGGGGCTGATGTCCATGCCTGATTCAAGGAGAAAAGTTTATGCTAACCAATAAAATTATGACTATTAACTGCAAATATCTCTTTATGAGAGAAAAGAGGAGAGAAAGATAAAAAAGACAGCATGATAAATTGCAATGTCTGTAAACATACACAAGATGGGTGCAGGACGCACCAGAATGAGCAAGACAAAGCCTCTAAGAAAAATGTAAGACAGTGCCAAGAATAAACTGCAACTAGTGAGAAATATTAAGGATGACAAAAGGACTTTTCTTAAATACTTGCTTGGTGCAAGAAGAATAAGAAAACACAGATCTGTCACTTAAAGCAGCAATGTTAGTTACAATAACTAGAATGTAAAACCCTGTATCTCTTCTTTTATCTTCGCTGTATAAACTACACTTTACTGAGTTGATCTCCATGTGTCAGGTATCAAACTAAGTACTTGTAGGCAGATTATTTCATTTAACCTAAAAAAAAAAAACCCACCATGATATGGATATTGTTATCATTCCTTTTCTCACAAATGGGAATATTGAAATTAATAGAGGTTGTATATCGTGTCCACAGTCACACAGTTAGAAAGCGTCAGAGCCAGGGTTTGAACTCAAGTAGCCTAACTATAGAACCCATATTTTTAATCACTATACAGTATTTTACTATCTGTTCCATCAAAAGAAATCATTTTTCAGAGTGGAGATGATAGAACATACATGAGAACAAGAGTATTTAAATCCAAGATACCTGCAAAGCATCTAGACACTCTAGATTTAGACTTTTAGCTCCTTGGCCAAGATTAATTACCTTTCAGGAAAATAAAACTACATACCAATGAGATCACTAGACCTCTCGCAATGATCTATGAAGAATAATGGAACAGCTATCTGGTATCTAATGGCTAGAGTCAGATAAATGGTTTCTCAATAGATTTCCAGAATAATGGGAAATTTGGTTTTGCATTAACAATAGGCTACGTATGTTATATTCATTCTAGGAAAAATTGTAGATGGTTTATTAAAAAAAAAAGTGGTCAGTAAAGATCAAAATGTGTTCATTAAGACTGAGAAATGGCAAATGAAACTATTTATATTTTAAAACTAAAAAGATAGTAAAAATAAATTCTAATGCTAAAAAGAAAAAAAATACACCTCTTTTTGATAAGAGAAAAACAATACCAGTATTTGTAGAAGGTAGGATAGACCATGGGCCAAATCATACACTTCAGGTCATTTTTAAGTGGTTGTGAAAGTTCATGAAAAGAGTTTACTGGTTGATCAAACTCAATCAGAAGAGTTTTTTAATGACTTGATTCAGTAATTTCATTTCAGTCCTTTCTGGATCAAAATTTTTATCTACAAAGATATAAAAGACTTATTTAACTTAATTAAGGGTGATTAACAAGAAAGAGAAAACAAATGCATAGTTTTCCAAGAAGGATTTCCATACTCTTTCAACTGGATAAAGTGATGGACTAAATCTAACCAGATGAAATAAAATAAAGATGATTTTTTAAAAATATACACTTTAGCTAAACAAACCACCAAATGACTGCACTATTACAGGATGAAGGGGATGTGGTATCCCTGGGGAGTGCCCGAAAATGTCATAGGATTTGTGTCAACATGAATTCAACATGAGTCAGTAGAATGCTCTGCACTGGACATGCCATAAGGAAGTGTTGCTTTCAACTCTCGCCTTCAACATGTTAAAAAGCATCAGAAGAGGTTGACTGGGACAAGCTAGGTCAGGAAGAAAAGCACATGAAGAAACCTGAAAAGGAAAAACACTGAGGCTACCTTGCCTTGAGACAAGTGTATGCTCGTCAGTTATAAAGTTCTTGGGTCCAAGTGACAGAAACTCCTACTCAGACTGGTGTGAACTATAAGAAATTGTATTTTTTTTTAATAGGAAGCTCAGAATTAAAGTAGCCTTCAGATAATGATGGATAAAAGCATTAAACCCAGAGAAGACATCCAACAGTCTTCCTATGGCTCTCTAATGAAAGAGAGGTAAAACTTTATCCAAAATATTTCTATTGTGACTGCACTGGTCAGAATTGTGTCTCATTGCCATTCCTTGCTTCATCACTTACAAAGGAATGCAGCAAGTCCTACACTAGCCACAACACTCTGGAACTAATAACCAGTTAAGAATAACTTTATATATATGAGGGGTGATGTTCCTTTGAGGTATAACCATATATGAGAAAGATAATGCATATTTAAGCAAAATTGAGAGTTCTGTTAGAAATTAAAAAAAAAAAAAAAAAAAGGACACCAGTCAAGTCCACCATCCAACTCCTAGTGAAAACCTGACTGTAAATTTCAATTTAGGAGTTGCCGTATGGAAATATATCCTGTGACTTGAGAGGAGGGAATGTAAGACTGATGTTTGGAAGTTAAAGGTGAATATACAGCAAGCCAATAACAAACAACATTTGCTGCATAATGAATGAGTCCCTTATTTTACACATGCTCTCTGGAGGAGGGAAAAAAAAAACCTCCACTATATGCCCTCCAAAAAGTCTTCCAACCGAAGACCAGCCCACAATTCAGGTTTTGTTCTGCATAAAAACATAGCCAATGAAGTGAATGGATCCTGAAATTTCAACCATTGTCAACCTGCAAAGTAATTCCAGGCTTTCTGGTCATGAGGGCCTAGAATCAGACAAAGATGCTCTGTATTTGCCAACTTTCTCCCCACAGTATTAAGATCTACTGAGAGGGGCACCTTTCTGGAATATGCACAAAGACGTCATGTGTACTAGTTCGCCTGACAATAATTCCAATACTAGGTTTCAATGATTGAAGTTAATAACTTACTAAAATAAGTTAGAAAGAATAGAATTGCAGTTTCAAAATAATTACAACAAAATAACAACTATTTTAACACTTGACAGTTTGAAAAACTCTTTTCCATTTTCAAGTAGATATTATGATTATTCTTATTTTATAGATGAGGATGCTGAGATCCAGGTTTAAATTTAACCAATTAGAAAATGGTGGATTTGGGTTTTCCAACCCATGTCTGCTTGATTCCAAAAATGTGCAATGATAATAGGAATTGTTCTCTCCCTCTTCTTCCTCCTTTCTTCTTTTTTTTCCTTCTACTGAGTTTACAGGTTTTTTTTTTTTTTTTGGTAGCAATACTAAAATATTTTTATAGTAATACTTATTTCTTTTTCTTTTTTTTTTTTTTGAGATGGAGTTTCACTCTTGTTGCCCAGGCTGGAGTGTGATGGTGTGATCTTGGCTTCCTGCAACCTCCACCTCCGGGTTCAAGCGATTCTCCTGTCTCAGCCTCCCAAGTAGCTGGGATTACAGGCGCCTGCCACCACGCTGAGCTAATTTTTGGCTAATTTTTGTATTTTTAGTAGAGACGGTGTTTCACCATGTTGGCCAGGATGACTTTGAACTCTTGACATCAGATGATCCACTCACTTTGGCCTCCCAAATGGCTGGGATTACAGGGGTGAGCCACTGCACCTGGCTAGTAATACTTATTTCTTTTCTTTCTTTCTTTTTTTTTTTTTTTGAGACAGAGTCTCACTCTGTAGCCCAGGCTGGAGTGCAGTGGTGCCATCTCGGCTCACTGCAGTCTCCGCCTCCCGGGTTCAAGCAATTCTCCTGCCTCAGCCTCCGGAGTACCTGAGACTACAGGCACGTACTACCATACCTGGCTAATTTTTGTATTTTTAGTAGAGACGGGGTTTCACCATGTTCGCCAGTCTGGCCTCGAACTCCTGACCTCAGGTGATCTGCCCACCTTGGCCTCCCAAAGTGCTGGGATTACAGGCATGAGCCACCGTGCCCAGCCAATACTTATTTCTTAAACCCATAAGATCTTTAAAAGCAAAACTCTGTCCCTCCCATAGTTTACTGCTCACTGAGGATGTTTACACTTTTCTTTGCACCCAGAAAGTATTCAAATATCACAATAATGATCTCTTTCCAGCATCTGATTTATATATATGTTCTGATTATGGATCTGGTTCCAGGAAAAAAATGGATTGGATATCAGCTCCAGGTTGATATCAACTCCATTTTTACATTTATGTAGTCCCTTACATGATGACCCAATGTTGAAAAAACTTACATTAAGAATAACTTTTTAAAGTTCACATCAAGGATTCACTATATCCTGGATTTATTGCTAATATATCTGCTGTCACACAATGAATTTCTTCAATTTCCTTTTCTTTATTAAAATATTACATATATGTAAGTAAATCTTAGTACCTCTTTACTAAAAGTGAAGTTGAAGGGCAAAAAAGTCAAGTCTTTTAGCACACCCGAGTCTACAGGTCAAGTTAATATTAAGAAATAAAAGAGAAATAATAAAAATTGCAGCATGACAGCAAAGGCTGAGAAAAATTGCATAGAGAAACAGTAGTGTAAGGGAGACTTTTATTAATAACTGCATTCCTTTATATATTTTAAAATTTATTTAAACCATCAAATATTTATTTAAGTGAATAAATAAGTTTTGATAAAAATTGATGCAAACAATAGAAAGATAAATAAGAAGAAAAACAAAAGAAGAAAGAAGAAAGGGAAGAATGGAGGGAGGGAAGAGAGGAGTTTGTTGAGAATACGTTTTGCTTAGGTACCAAGCGATCGCAGTTATCCAGAAACCTTAAAAAGCTATCAATTTTTGGAGAATTTTTAGAATGTATTTTCAGATTTTCCAGGTTGTTATTGATTTAAGAGGAAAGTCCAGATAGGAAGTCAATTCTGGAAAGAAGAGGAGAAATAATGCTGGGATCTTTAAGGATTTCTGATTATTTTTTAGTGCCTTGGGCAGAAGACTTCACAATTGTATTTTTAAGGGATAAGAAAAGAAAATGGCCGGGCTTGGTGGCTCACGCCTGTAATCCCAGCACTTTGGGAGGCCGAGGCGGGTGGATCACGAGGTCACGAAATCGAGACCAGACTGACCAACATGGTGAAACCCCGTCTCTACTAAAAATACAAAAGTTAGCTCGGCGTGGTGGCACGCGCCTGTAATCCCAATTACTCGAGAGGCTAAGGCAGGAGAATTGCTTGAACCTGGGAAGCGGAGGTTGCAGTGAGCCGGGATCGTGCCACTGCACTGCAGCCTGGTGACGGAGTGAGACTCCATCTCAAAAAAAAAAAGTAAAAATAAAAAAAATAAAGAAAAGAAAATGAAGGAAGAATTAGCTAAATGTAAGCCAGCTGAGATGCTTTGAAGAGCGTGAACCCCTCAATCTAAAAATTAAAAGATGTGTAAGAGCCTCTCTGGGACTCAATGGAAGGTGATTGACATTGAAAAAGAAGGATAATTCTGTACTGAGTGTAGACTACACCACCACAAAGTGATTCCACCTAAAAATGGGACACGGGAAGACAGCTTATGTGGTTGTTATGAGATATACACTAAAAGTGCCTTGACAACATCCATTATGTATTCACCTACAAAATCAGAATACCTCAACAGGATTTCACAATTACTTAACAGAGCAGGATAGTAATGTCATATTCTCCCTGTACGTGTGGTAACAATAAAATCTGAAAGTTCTTTAATATCAAGGATCCAAATTCCACAAATAATTCCATGAACAATTCTGCAAACTGAAAATTCTGTAAGATTTTGTAAAAATAAGGAAACTATATGAACAAGAACCTGTTTTATTCCTGTCAGAGGCTACGTGGCATGTTTAAGATACACCTACAGAAGGAGTTCAATTTAGTTTATAAAGGCCTACTGTTTCATTTTTCGAAATGCCAGACCCCCAAGAGAACAAAGATTAATAAGATATACTTCCGGGACGGGCGCGGTGGCTCACGCCTCTAATCCCAGCACTTTTGGGAGGCCGAGGCGGGCGGATCATGAGGTCAGGAGATCGAGACCATCCTGGCTAACACGGTGAAACTCCGTCTCTACTAAAATTACAAAAGAATTAGCCGGGCGTGGCTGCGGGCGCCTGTAGTCCCAGCTACTCGGGAGGCTGAGGTAGGAGAATGGCGTGAACCTGGGAGGCGGAGCTTGCAGTGAGCCGAGATCTTGCCACTGCACTCCAGCCTGGGCAACAGAGCGAGACTCCGTCTCAAAAAAAAAAAAAAAAAAAATACTCTGGCTCTTGGGAAAGCCTCAGTCCAGTGGAGGAGACAGATATGTAAACATCTAATGTCGATGCAGAGAGCAGTGGCAGTCTCCGCACACATACCTGTCTAAAACTAGTCAAGGAAAGAAGGAATCCGCATTCCAATAAGCCTCCTCCAATGATGATTCCAGACTCTTTAAATATCTGTCCCCAAGAAATTGCCTTATACTTGGGCCACTTAATTAGAAATACCTAAGCAGAACGCAATCATTTTATTACATGGAGCCTGAAACTGTGCTCTTCACCTCTTCATTGCAGACTATGGTCTATTCCTTATTTCAGCTTTCTGTTGACCCAGGCGTTAACTCCTTAAAAACATTCCATGTACAGGCCGGGTACGGTGGCTCATGCCGGTAATCCCAGCACTTTGGGAGGCCGAGGTGGGCGGATGACCTGAGGTCGGGAGTTCGAGACCAGCCTGACCAATATGGAGAAATCCCGTCTCTACTAAAAATAACAAAGTTAGCCAGGAGTGGTGGCGCATGTCCGTAATCCCAGCTACTCGGGAGGCTGAGGCAGGAGAATTGCTTGAAGCTGGGAGGCGGAGGTTGCAGTGAGCCGAGATCAAGCCATTGCACTCCATCCTGGGCAACAAGAGCGAAACTCCATCTCAAAAAAAAAAAAAAAAATTCCATGTATAATCCTCCATCTCTTTCACCTTCTGTAGACTGATGCAAAATAAAGAAAAAATAAAGAAAACAAAAAAACATAGACACACTGGAGAAAAATAGAATACATTTGTTTTGAATCTAATGAACTTAATTTCATTAGACAAAGGAACAATCTTATCCGAGTTGCAGCAACAAATGTTAACAGGTAGAGAAACTATTTTTTGTTTATCTGAAGGGATCTGCAAAAAGTTGCATTTGCACCAAGTAGTTGCCTTCAGGTTTAAAGCCTGAATTGTCAACTCTTACTTAAAATTACTGGTGAATGGTCAGAATAGTTAAGGAATTTAAAAGCAATTTTTCTCATTTCCTTTCTTAGTTCCATGAAGAATGGAAAAATACAAATTTAACTGCCTTCAGAATCACCTTAATTTGAGTTTTTGTGACCACAAGGCATTCTTTGCAATAAACTAAAATGACGTGGAGAACAGTTTCTGGTAATTGATGATTTTGTCAGGAATTTGAGATTGTATTTCTAATTCTGCCACAGGGTCATCAGATTCCATTATGCTGGGCAAGTTACAGTTTGTCAGGCAGTTTTGTGGGGTGGCGTATTAATATTCTTTTAAAATACATTTTTACTATGACGGGGAACTCCTGTGGACACTTATAAGACCCAGAGTATGTTTATGTGCCCTGTATTTTATCTTTATAGGTGCTCTTTTTCACCTTTTCTGATTCTTCTAGCTGACTCTTTGTCCCAGATTCTGCCCATCTGGCTGCTGTGTGCAAAGAATTGAAGAGGTTTGGAAAAATTCCCTGGCAGACTGGCACTTAGTTTCTGTCGTCTAGGATGGAAATATAATTACTATGTTAACATAAATATATCCCTTCTAAAATATCAAAATGTTTTCAGGCTTTACCAATTATTTTAGATATTACAAATGATGGTGGTTCTCCTCTCAAGGGAGTTATCATTTCTTACCTTCTGTAAGAGACAGATATAGTCCATCTTAGGGCTTAAATATTTCCAATAATATATAGAGAGGAAATGGCTTTAGGAGTTTTAAACATAAATCTGAAGTACTTAACAAAAAATAAGCTTGCAACGGAACAGTAGCAGACCCTGCCTTTGTCAAGGACAGGCTACGCAGCTTCCTTTCCATAGCTGTTCATTAGGCAGCCAAGACCACAACTTTCATTGACTTGTTAATTAGTTGAGGCTTAAATATTTAATTTTAATGATTTACTGCTTTTTTTGGCAATAACATTTTACTTTATCCTTACTCACATACTACAGCACAATTTCCTCTGAAAAGATCTGTAAAAGTAATTAAAGACAAGTACATATTTTTCATAACTTTACTAAGTGGTGGGAGATCTCATAAGTAGAGGAAATTGATGAATTGAAGAAGCAAAACAGATGGTAGAGCTGCATACGTGTGCCAACACACTCCAGCCTGCAGTCTGTTCCAGATTTTGCTAAGGCCAGAAACATAGTGAAAGTAATACCAGGAGCTCGATCCAGCAGAAAAGGCTCATAGTCCCCTTGGGTCATTAAAAGCAAGCTTCCTGGCTCCAACACAAGTAGCCCTATGTGAAGCAGCATTCCACGGAAGTGTTGTGTTTTCTGACCTTCTGGAAATTTGTATGTTCAAGCATATGGTCCTCTTCAAGGGGAGAAAGTAGAAGTCCTCTGTAAATAACTATAAAGGCAAAAAATGGATATACAGAGACAAAATGGTTCTCTTTTTTCTTATTTGTAGCTATCAATTTTTTCCCTATTTGTAATTAAGAAGTGATTTCCTTTTTAAAAAATTAATAGATAGCGGATGCTCTGCTAATCTCTCAGAGTCACAGATGATTAAAATGAGAGTTCTGCTCATAGGTTCTTCACCACTTCAGTCAGCTAAGAAAAGCTTTGAAAGAACACTATTAGGACAATAAGAATGATGGTAAAGTGTCTTGAAAAAACAAAGTAAATCAAGGTAATTTTCTTTTGGCTTCTGGATGTTCTTTCAGTTGCCAAGACGGTGGCAAATTAATAATTGAACAACAAGGGTATCCCCAGCTCCTAACCAAGGTCATTTTTTATTAGTGCTCCAATTAGTGCCTTGTGAGTAAAGGACACTTAAGTCATCAGTAAAATGAATATGGAACAAAAGTCAGGTGATAGTGGATTTTAATATGTAAACTGTTGCTGAATATTACTTGTAACAGCAAATATTTAGAAAGAAACTAAATATTCAACACTATGAGATTGGTAAAATTAAAGCATGTTATTTTACACAGTGTACTATTTTTAAGCAGTCAAGGGAGTTATTTTATATGAATAGTAAATAAAATGGGTGTCTCTGTCTATTTTGTGCTGCTATAACAGAGTACTTGGGACTGGGTAATGTATAAAGAACATAAATTAATTTTCTTACAGTTCTAGATATTGAGAAGTCCAAGATTAAGGCAATGGCATTGATGAGAGCCTTCTTGCTGGGTCCTGAAGAGGGGAGGAATACCATGTCCTCACATGGCAGAAAGCGGAAGAGCAAAAAGAAAGAGAAAGAGAGAAAAGAGAGAGAGAGCAAAATCCCTCCATCAAGCCCTTTATAATGGCATTAGTCCATTCATGAGAGCAGAGCATTCATGTTCTAAACATCTCCCACCAGACCTCACCTTCCAACACTGTTGCATCGGGGATGGATTTTCAACATGACTTTTGAAGGGGACAAAAGCATTCAAACCACAGCAATTAGAAAATGCACGTGGTATATATTAAGTGACAAAAACCTAAACGAATTTAGTGTAAACTGTTCTAATGTTTGTCTATCTTCCTTTCTGAGAACAAACAATCGATTCCAATGATTTTGGATAACCACATCGTGAAGTGGCTCTTTTTTCAAGGCTTGAAACAACAAAACTGAGGGAGTGAATTAAGGGCAAAAATCTACTTTTAATTTAAGAATTTATATGAGTGACTGGAGCACAGAGGGCATTTATAAGGGTGCTTACTAGGGAAGGGGGCATCGAGTCACCACTGCTTTGGTCAAATTGTACTTCAGTCAACCAAATCTTCATGGGTTCATGGAACAAATCAAGTAATTGGGGATCCAGCAGAAGTAAAGCACAACAATCTAAAAGAATAATGGACCCACTGCCCATTACTGACTATACATTGTAAATAACCAGTCCATGGATGTGTCCCTGCATTGGAACCCAAGATTAAGATTTGGATATGGATGATGTATGCTTATATAAGTCTTTTTACTTGTTTGTCTACACTGTCTTAATAAATCAGTCTTTTTTTTCTACATGCCTTGTGGAAAGTATACTTCATTTCATCAAAATAAATAAGTAGGCTAGGGAGATTTTGGATAAATTAGTCCTTAAAATTATCAATTTAACCCAGAAAACACTTTATAACCTGATGTGGTTTGGCTGTTTCCCCACCCAAATCTCATCTTGAATTGTAGTTCCCAGAATTCCCATGTGTTGTGTGAGGGGCCCAGTGGAAGGTAACTGAATCAGGAGGATGGGTCTTTCCTGTGCTGTTCTTGTGGTAATGGATAAGTCTCATGAGATCTGATAGTTTTATAATGGGGAGTTCCCCTGCACACACTCTCTTGCTTGATGCCATGTAAGACATGACTTTTGCTCCTCCTGTCTTCCGCCATGATTGTGAAGCCTCCTCAGCCATGTAGAACTGTGAGTTCATTAAACCCCTTTCTTTTATAAATTACCCGGTCTCAGGTATGTCTTTATTAGCAGTGTGAGAATGAATTTCTACTCTCATATAATTTTTAAATTATCTACTTAACATGCTTATTAGAAAAATAAAAAATGATTATTAGGATACACAAGAATAAAAAAATGTGAGAGAGAATATACATAGTACCAAAGATCGACTTCATTCATTTTTAAATTAGTCATCTCTGGCCACCTCATTCCACCAAATCCCAGAGAGTATTTTCTTCATGTTTCAGAAAAGTGGACCTAAGAGAGATGAGAATCTCATCCAAGGGATTCACTGCCCTGCCCTGGAACCCAGAAGAGGAGAGTTAAGTAGATGGATTTATGCTTTGTAGTTCAGGATCAAACTGAGCAATAGCCTCTCTGTAAGTTCACACTTTCTCTTAATCAGAAATTCTTATTAATACTCCATAAGATATCAATAATTTATTATAATATAAATTACTGTGTAATATAAATTACTTTGTTCATATAATCAGATCAACACCAAGCATAAACATATATAAAAAGGAGTCTTCACTGGGGACAGGTTAGAGCAAGAAAAAATTAGATAAAAAAATGAAGAGAGCTGAGACATTTCCAGGAATGGCAGATCTATTCTATGTGAATCATGTGAGGATTTTGAAGCTCTGTAGGCAACCAGAAGACTCTGAGAACCTGAGGGTTGGAAGATAGGCATAGACTGGGAAAAAGAAAGGAAACAAACCACATTTTACTTATTTTTTTCTGAGAGCCCAAGGCCAGTTTTCTGCTGAACATAATCTTTAATCTTTGACAAGCTATTAATACCAGGTGTCAAGTAACCACATTTATTAAAAATCTGATCACAATGAGAAGTCCCAGCAAGCAGAGCCTAGACTTTATTCATCTTTTTTAGCCATGGCACATAGTACTAAGATAAAGTTGAAAATAAACAAAGATGAGTAAGATGGTGACTTCCTTCAAGAAGCTTACTACCAAAAGGAAGTGAATTCAACAAAGTAATTAAAGTTTATAATAGGCATGTGTGCAGAGTACCACAGTAATATACAAAAAAGTGTGGGAGTGAGTGATCGATTTGCTTGGGGGAGGCAAATTAAAGAGAGACTTTATAGAGAAGGGGATGTTTGATGTTCATGTTGGGAAAAGAAAGAGCATAGAGTATCCCAGACTACAGAAGAAATGGTGTAAACCAAAGTCTTGGGTCTTACTCGGCTCCAATTGTACTTCCAGATCTTTATCATTTGATTTCAGCTCTTAACTAATATAGTAATTTATAAAAATATCTTCTCCAAAAATAATTATTAGACAAATGTTTGCATACCCATAATGGTTATTCAGGTCTATGTTCATAAAGTATCCATCAGATCAGGGCCTACACCATCAATCCACAAATATTCTGAATGTTTCTGAGACTGAGACATGTATCTGGTATTATTGTCTCTCTTTCAGAATAAAGGAATAATTAGGAATAAAATTTTCTTCTCCTAGATTATAAAATGAGTCTGTGACACCTTGTGGTTCTCAGTTCAAGTCATGTTACAACTTAGAAAGTTTTTTTATGCTAAACTATAGGTGGTTGTGGTAATAGTTTACTAATAGACTTGTCTTTGTGAATCTTAGTTGATGGCTATTATTTCCTGGCTATGAATTGAACTTTATCAACAGTGAATGTATAATCACGCCAAATGATATGGTAGATACTCTACAACACTGACCCTTTGAGAAACAGTGGCAACGTCCATTGGCAGAATGGTATTTTTAAAGTCAAAAGACTTACTGTAGCAGTAACAAGCACATTTATAAGTATGGTGTCATATATTTGAAATTCTACCCACATTCCTAATGTGTCCTTTGGCAACTTACAGTATGTGAGTACAGATCAAAAGTTTTTTTTTTAAAAAAAGTCTAACATATTCTTTGAAATGAATTTACAGAATATTTACTTTCTTAAGACAGTGACATATGAGGATAGAGCAACTGTATGTTTGACTTTCCGAAACAGCATTTTGTAAAGTAGAAATCCCTTATTTGGTATGCACACATGATAGTGAACGCAGCTGTTGTGAGGAGTTCTGTGTTTCTCTGCCAAACCTAGATGTTGAAGTGATAAGAGTATTAGGAAAGTTAAATGCTTGTCTTTTTTTTGCGTACATGCCCATGCATATTTCTAGTCTCTGCTCAGGGAATCAGATATGTTTTTTAGGTGAAGGGAACGGGTGAAAAGTAAGTAAATAGACCCAAGTCCTTAACCTTCCTCTGTTATACCACCAACTTGATAAGCAAAGGCTGCTAAGAATTAAAATCCTTAATGCTGCACAGAAATCACTTTTTCCTAAAATTTCTACATGAGAATATAATTTTACAAAAACTTCAATATAGGAATCACAAAGACCATCCAACTCAACCACCCATTTAATGCTTTGGGAAACTAAGGCTCAAAGAAGAAAAGTGACAGGACCAAAGAGCCGGGATTGGATACTTTTGGATGCCAAATGTACCAGGAACAGTCACAGTCATCTAGCCCACATGGTTGTTACCAAGGGCTGAATCTGCTATTCTAAATTTTAGAACCCAAGTCAAAAATAATCTCTTGATTGCAACGTCCTATATGCATTATATAGTAATTAATTTCTCATATTCTTCAAAGTTATACATAATTGTCCTTTATCCTTTTAACAAACATTTATCTAGTACTTATTATAAGTCTAGCATTATATTGTAAATAAAAGCAACATGATCCCTGTCCTCAGGGAGCTTAAAACACTCTAGATATAATGGAAGATAATTACATCATATGCTATCATATGATTTCAATTTATAATATGTGCCATGAAGAAAAAGAACAGTGGGAAATGAGATAGCATAATGAGAAACTAGTAATTTATTTTAGACTTGATAGGTGAGGATCCCTTATTAAGGGACATTTGAACTCAAATTGCAAAGATGAATAGGGGCTAGTCAGATGGAGAGCGATTGACATGAGACTTCCTGGCAAAGGGAAAGCACATACAGAGGTCTTGGCATGTTGGAGGCACTAAAGGGAGGGTAGTTAAAGTGGAGAATGGAGAGTCAGGGGCAGAGTGATGAGATGAAATTGAAGAGGTAGCAGGGACTGGATCACATAAGGCTTTATAGGTGGTACTAAGGAGTTCGAATTTTATTCTGAGTGCAGTGGAAAGTTTTTGAAGCAATTTTTAACAGGAATGTTAACATGATCCCATTTACAATGTTAAAATGCTCAGCATTTCTGATCAGCATTTGATAATTGCTTGGGTTAACACATCGAGTCAATACGTGGCAGCTAGAATCACAGAAACTTTAACGTGTACCCTTTTTGTGCCGGATATTGTATAACTCCCACAAGTATGCAGACCCAGCAACCACGGCAGGCAACCAGACAGATGCTGAGTGGATTCCTTGGCTTCCAACCTTTTACTCAATTACTTCCTTCACTGTATCTACACCTGGGCTCTTTCTCCAGTAACGAAACTTTGTGTTCCTTGTCTTGCTTTCAGTCTCATCTCCCGCATCTTCTGGTATTCTTATAACCCTACAGATTTTTTTTTTTTTTTTTTGAAACAGAGTCTCATCGCCCAGGCTGGAGTGCAGTGGCGCGATCTCGGCTCACTGCAACCTCTGCCTTCCGGGTTAAAGCGATTCTCCTGCCTCAGCCTCACAAGTAGCTGGGATTACAGGTGCCCATCACCACACCCGGCTAATTTTTGTGTTTTTAGTAGAGACGGGGTTTCGCCATGTTGGCAAGGCTGGTATCAAACTCCTGACCTCAAGTGGTCAGCCTGCTTCAGCCTCCCAAAGTGCTGGGATTACAGGCATAAGCACTGTGCCCAGCCCCAACCCTAGTGATTTTGACAGTCCTTAGCATATAGTACAACTAATATTTTTATGCTTGTCAAAGGAATAAGTAGATGAATGGATATTATTAGTGGGAACTAGGATTTTGCTATCAACAAAGAATACCAATCATTTTATTGCCTAGTGTTGAGGAAATAAAAATTAAAACTATAACTTAATTATTATTCTGTCTCTGATTAACTAGATGTGTTGAGCAAAGTCTTTACAGTTTTATCCTTTTTTTGAAATCTTCCTAGTCCTCCTTTAATTGAAATTATTGTTGCTTAATTATTGATTGTATAACACTTTAGAAACAAACGTGAGACACTGTAACACGCCTTTACATTGAACACTCTGTCCCAGTCTTTGAAAAGTACTTCTGAGGTTTGATTTCTCCTTTGAGATTTTGATTTGACTTATGACTCCCCTGACTCTTTGTCGATTTTTTTTTTCCTGGAACGAAAGAGCTGTCAAATAGTCATATCATTAAAGGTGTCATACAACCTCATGAAAATAGTCTCCTGCTGTCTTGGAATGCTTAAAAATGATGAATATTCATGTTTCTGTTTTCCTGGGGTCATTTATAATGCTGTGTATTTGTGGTCTCCCTGCTGGGATTCATTTGACCTTGAGATAGCACACATTACCAGAAGAGAACACATCTGACACATCTCAACTAGGTTATGCTTTTTTGTTGTTGTTTTGCAAAAAAACAAGCTTAAGACTTTGTAGGGTACTATGTTTACTTTCCTAAGTAATTTCTATGGTAAATTGACAGTCTCATATTATCAAGTGATATTTTTTCCCAAGGTCAGAATTGATGCCTGTCTATGCACTATGCAGATAAAATTTGATAAAACTGTAAATAAATGCAATTTATTTTCTGTTTCATATCACTTGTTTGGCTCTCTCAGCATTACCTACTGCCTGCCTTCCTAAAGGAAAACCTCCACTGCGTCCTTTGCCTCACTCCTTTGGGATTGTGCTCTCTGTTATCTGTCACCACTGGAAATGATTTGGATCAACAAATCCCCTAAAGTGTTACTGATATTGACTCAAAGTATAATACTCTAAGAATATTGATATTTTACTAAGGGATTTGTATAGAACTAGATGTTACCAAAAGAAAAAAAAAAACTAAGAAATATTTCTTAAATGGTAGCCTTTCAAATGAGGATTTGAACCGGAGCTAGTCTGGATCTGAGTAAGCCTGCCTTCCTAGTGCCCCTCAAATCAAACTAGGTAAGCACATCTCCATGCCAACCCTGGGGAAGGGAATGAAAACAAGTTGTCTCTTTCTTGTAACACAATCATTAAAGTGGGGAAATTGTAAGATCTAGAATCAGATAGGTTCGTTGCCAAGCTCTAAACAGTTGGCTTAGTCTTCAAAGTGTGCGGATGTGTGTGTAGGCTTTATTTAATGTCATTATTTAACTATAGCTCTGCCACATACTATCTGTATAATCTTCTTCAGGTTACTTATTCTCTATGAGACTCATTCTTCTATAAAATATAAACAATAACACCAACCTCAATTTAATTTGAATGTTTAAATAAAATATGTATAGCAACATGTGCAGTGCCTGACACAAAGTAGGTAGTCAATAGATATGAGAACACTGCATTGAATGAAAAACAACTTCATTTAGGTAACCTGTTTCCTTGAAACTAGCATAAACAAAATTTTATATTTATAAATAACATACATAAACATAATTCTATTATAGGCTAAAAATAAACAAGTTGGTAGAAATATGTGCTATTGTTAAATTGATTTATTGTCTTTCTTACTTTAAACAATACTTACCAAAAAAGACGAAATTAACTTTAAGATATCAGAACTACATTATATATACTACAAAAAAAACCATGTCAATTAAAACTGTAGTGGTAACAAAATAAATCATCAAAATTCAACCGAACACTGGTATATAAAAATTTTCCATAGGCATATGAAATTTTTCTGTAGGTATATGAAAATTTTCATCTTGAATGTTGCTTTGGACTTTTATATACCAGATCTTCAGACAGATGAGAAAAGTAAATTCTTTCATGACAAAGATCTATAAAAGGGAAGTACTCTGCTTCCTGTGATCCATGACTAACATTGGAAATTGCTTTTCCAGATGTATAAAACACATTGTCATGCTTGTATTCCTTATACTCACTTTAGGGAAGAGATCTACAATTTAAAGTGCTCCTCTACAACCTCTCTATCACTGACCTTCTATTTTCAGCTCAAACTGGAAAGAACTGAAGCCTCTGATGGTTAGAAATTTCTTGCATACTGTGGTCAGTTAGCATGGCCAGGTGTGCTGTGAGTCCAGTGGCATATCAGAAACAGGACATAGAGATAGGTAACTGCGTCACAGCAAGGAATTTCCTCCTCTATCCTGATGTTTTAAAGTGTAGCAGAACCAGGGCCTTGAATTCTTTGACCTCGTGGATTCCTAGATTCATATCAGCTGCAACAACTACCAAACTTAAGATCTGGCTCCGGCTGGGCGCGGTGGCTCACGCCTGTAATCCCAGCACTTTGGGAGGCCGAGGCGGGTGGATCACGAGGTCAGGCGGTCGAGACCATCCTGGCTAACACGGTGAAACCCCGTCTCTACTAAAAATACAGAAAAAAAATTAGCCGGGTGTGGTAGCGGGCGCCTGTAGCCCCAGCTACTAGGGAGGCTGAGGCAGGAGAATGGCCTGAACCCGGGAGGCGGAGCTTGCAGTGAGCCAAGACAGCGCCACTGCACTCCAGCCTGGGCGAAAGAGCGAGACTCCGTCTCAAAAAAAAAAAAAAAAAAAAAAAGATCTGGCTCCACAAGGAAATAGCAATACATTAGAGAGAACTTTCCACACTTATCCTTACCCTAAATATGTTATTTCTACCTCTTTTTGCGGACATAGTAATAAGCTGAAGAGAAATTAATCTGGAAATAACTTTAAGCCATCAACCTGTGATTCTTCAGACTAATTATGGATTCTAATACATGTTGAGACTTCAGTGTATTTTCAAGCTATATTTAACCCTTAAATTAATATTCGTTGACCGACTGATTGAAGGAAGGAATGAATAGTAAAAACAGAACCTATATAGTACTTCAAAACAGGAGATGTGTGAGGGTGCAGAGAATTCTGGGTTTAGAAGCAGTGATAGAATAAGGATTAATATATGAAGGTATAGAGAAGTGAGAAAAGGCAGGGCTCTAACGGAAATACTGGAAATTATATCTGGAGAGGGAAGTCTCATCTCACAAATGAGGACAAAGTGCATACAGTAGTGCCCTCTTATCTGGAGGGAATAAGTTTGGAGACCCCCAGTAGATCCCTGAAACAGCAGATAGTACCAAACCCAATTGCCGTCAGTTAGAACAAGTTTCCGTTCATGTCTTCTACCCACAAATGTAATGTTTTTTCAATCTTAACTAAGCACTTATCACGCGCTGTGGCAGTAACTTGTAGTTTTAGGTGCCACAGCAAAAACTAACACAATTTTTTTTTCCTTCTTTACAACTTCACAAACAGATTTGTTCTTACCATAGATTTCAACAACCTCAGCATATGACTTTTTTTCTTTCCTCAAGTTGACAACTTCCAGCTTTTCACTCAAAAGAAGCACTTTAAAGGTCCTCTTGGCATATGCAAATTAACAGCATCACCACTCCTGTGCTTTGGGCCATTATTAAGCAAAATAAGGGTTAGTGGAACACAAACACTGCAATATTGTGACAGTAGATCTAATAACTGAAATGCCTACTAGGAGACTAAGAGGTGCATAGCATAGACAGTGTGGAGATGCTGGACAAAGGGATAATCCACATCTTGGACAGGATCGAATAGAATGGCCCAAGATTTCATCATGCTACTCAGAATGGCATGCAACTAAAGACTTATACATTCTTTATTTCTGCAATTTTTCATTTAATACTTCCGAACTGCCATTGATTACAGATATCTGAAACCATGGAAAGCAAAACTTCAGATAAGACAGAGGTACTGTAGAGTACATTTGGGTTAAAGATAAAAGAAAAGGTGTTCAAACAGGACATACTGCAAGGCTGTAGTAGAAATGAAGGACTGAACTTATTTAAATGTGAATATGGAGAGGAATGGTGGAGTCTCTTTTTGTCCTTGGAGAAAAACTTGTTAATAACCAAGAAAAAGATTGGTAGTTGTAAGTTAACTTGGAGACTTAGAGATAGGGATGGAAAAGAGGGGAAGGGAAGGAAAGTATAAAAGTTTAACAGGCTACAATGTCCCATGAGCCACATTCATGTTTCATAGCTTCTAGAGGCTGCAAATTAAAATGCTTAGAGGAGACAGTTAATGAGTGACTAGGGCCTAATGATGAAACAGAAAGTATATTCCCCTCTTGTAGTAGTCAATACAACTCCTATAATTGTTTGCCATACAGGAGTGCGGACTCAAAGAGAAGCCAACAATTTAGGTTTGCTGAAAAATATTTTTACTTGTAAATTTTGGAAACTGATTCCACTTTTATAAAAATTGTTTATGGTGCATAGCAACATGGATTTATAAAACATAGAAAAAAGAAATGGATGAGATTTATAGCATAATATCATTTCTATAAATTTAAAATACATTCACATAAAAACAATGCAAATATTCTGTAAGATTCCATATATACTGAATGGCATAAATCAAACACATTACAGTCCTGTCTTGGTTACAGGAGACACAGCTGACTATGGGAAATAAGAGGGAAATACTATTTTTTTTTTTAATTAAAACGAGTTCCCTACAGGGACAAATGATAATAACATGGTATGGACTAGAAATATGATTACCTAACTTTCTGCACATAAGATCTAAATGTAGATAAATATTATTAAAATAACACACACAGTAATGGTGTCTGCTATAAAATAATAATATAAGTAAACAATAATGGCATTGATTTTTGGCCCAAAAAATATAAAGACCCATTCTGTTCAAATAGACTATAAGAAAAGTTCTAAAAGAAGGAGCTTGTTAAACTAAATCTTGAACCAGAAATTTACCAGAGATTTGTGAAAGGTAAGGGCTTTCCATGAAACATATTGTACGCACCAGGAACTACTTGCTGGAGCTGATTATTCCTGCAACGGGGAAGTGGCTGTGGATAAGACAAGTCAGGTATATAGGTAACGCCCATGTCCTGGAGGCTTCATCCATACTAAGAAGTTAGGGGTTTATCCTCTAGATACTAAGGAAACATTTCTTCATTAAAATACAATACTCGTAAAATTGCTTCTTCTCTTTTTTATTCTCTATCTTCAGAACAGTCTCTTGAGACAAGCAGTCTCTTTATCATCATTTAGCAAACTTGGAGGTCTAAAGATTAATATAAGCATGCTTTTGTGTATATGCATGAAAATATTATCAACAATATGTATTCACAGATCCTATTTCATATGGAAGAATTTGTCCATGTAGTATAATTTTCCAAGCCCTGCTTGATAAATTCAACACACTATTCATCAGTTCTCCTCTGTGAATTTAAACCCTCTAATATATTGTGCCAAAAAAATACTAGACACACAGTTTTATTTTTTATATATTAAACGAAGCTAATATGTTTCTATAAATGGACTTGTCTATAGGATCCAGATGAACTCAATATCTCAAAACTTTTAATCAAATTAATAATCATGAAAATGGTCATTTTATTTTTCCCTTAAAGTCTACATTAACTTATTAATTTGAGTGTGGCGTGATTACTGCCTAAGGCTAGTACTGTATGGAACAATACATTTCTCTAAATTACATTTTACTTTTTGCAAAGTTATCTTTTAATGAGCATTCTCTCTAGAAGTACTTCTGAAAATTAGCTTTTATTGAATGATAAATGCAAATGATGAAATCCTGGATTGCAAATATAATTACATTAAGTACACAGAACACCAACTATAAATTTTTTCTAAGTTTTTTAGTTAAACTATTAAATGTTTATTCTTCTCCTTATTAAAATAGATTTAATTAACATATTATTTAAAAATCTGTATACTAGATGGTTTTTAGCAGTTTTGAGAGATAATATAGAGTTGATTGGGTTTCACTGCACCACTTACTATTTATGTGACTTTTACTTAAGACTGCCTCAGTTTTTTATAAAAGGATGAGAAATATATGGCCTACCTCTCCAGGTTATTGTGAGCCTGAAATTAACTACTATATGTAAAGATCTTAGAACATTGCCATAAAATAAATGTCAGCTACAATTATTGGCCACATCTAAAAATCAAATTATCATTTAAAAGGGTACATTACACTTCTTACAAGTGTTACAAAGATACTTATTACATGCATTTGTAATTACGTTCATCATCTGCTAATAAGCATTAATCATTTATCTCATCATTTATATTTATAGCTAACAACTTTCCAGTGGAAAGGTATTATCATCACAATTGGCATTAAATCTGTTATATTATGAATGCTATAGTCTACTGTGTCATCAAATAAAGTAGAATTTCTCTCTTTGATGACCAATGCTCCCTTCCACAGAAATATGCACATATTTCATAAATACTTCTGATGGTCAACATTAGGAGAAGAGAATATCAAGAAATATTACTTTCTATAATGTGTATTATAGAAAATGTAATAATGACTATTTACCGTGGCCCAGGTTCAAGCACCAAATAAAAATCACCATATTTACAACCTAGAGATGGAAGAGGTCTTTCCAAACCAAGAAAAAGAAACACATTGAAGAGGTCTTTCCAAACCAAGAAAAAGCAATACGTTATAAAAATATATTTTTGTATGCAAAAATATATGAAGTTTGATAAGCAAACAACAGTTTAGAAAAAACTGAAATGTAGATGACAGATAAAAAACATCTGTAATGCATAAATAAATTTTGCAAATGATTTTTAGAAGTTTAACAACCTAAATGATATGAGGGAAAAGGATATGAACAGTCAATTCACAGAAAAGCAAATCCAAGTGATTGATAAACACAAAACTACGCATCTTTTGTGATGAATGTGGGCAGCCAAATATACAACTATGTGTGTCTGTGTGTGTGCACACTCTCCATCAATCCAGAGTGGGGAATATGGGCAGCCATGACAACTCTCCTGTGTGTCTCTGTGCACACTCTCCATTAGTCCTGAACAACTCACATATGAGGATATTCCTATGAAATCTCTCCAAGTGGTCTTCTTCACCATGAAACCCTCTCCCAACAGAAGTTAAAGAATGGAAAGAGAATAGGACCAAGAAGTAGGAGGAGTATAGAAAGAAAAGAACTTTTTATCCCTAAAATGAGGTAAGCACAGTACTTCATGAATTGGGACCACAGAAACTGAAAAAGGAAGTTACCTTTAGGCTGTTCCAACCTAGGACAGAGGAGTAGTTAGGATCTCTGACTTGTGCTTCCTCTTGAGCACTTCTTCCAAAAGAAATAGGTGGCAATTTTCTTGGTGGATTTTGTGACCTTCTCTGTGACTATAATATTAATTCCATTATGATGTATCTACGTTTGCATTTTACATTCAGTATGCATTTTTAAATATTGACTCTCTCATTCTCTTCTTCTGGAACTAATATTAGACATGTACTGAAGCTTCTCATTCTATCTTCTTCCTTGTCAATATTTCTCATTTTCTTATATCTTTGCAATTTAATCTGAATTACCAACGTATATTCTAGTTCAACAATTCTCTGTTCACTGTTCTAGACTATTCCTTAATCGGTTAAATAATAATAGTTCTAATAATACTAATTTCAATAGTTTTTTTTTTTTTTTGACATGGAGTCTCACTCTGCCACCCAAGTTGTAGCGCAGTGGTGACATCTCAGCTCAGTGCAACCTCTGCCTCCCAGGTTCAAGCGATTCTCCTGCCTCAGCCTCCTGAGTAGCTGGGATTACAAGCATGCGTCACCACGGCCAGCTAATTTTTTGTACTTTTAGTAGAGACGAGGTTTCACTATGTTGGCCAGGCTGGTCTCAAACTCCTGACCGCAAGTGATCCTCCCGCCTCGGCTTCCAAAAGTGCGGGGATTACAGGCATGAGCCACCGTGCCCAGCCTTCAATAGATTTTTTACTTTTAAGTTTTCTAGGATAGTCTTTTTCGAATATTTCCATTCTTATTTTGTGGGTTCTATTCCTTTCTATGTCTCTTTGAAGAATTTAAGCATACTTATTTTAAAATCCTTTCCAGATTTTTCTCTGTCTCATCTGTGGACTCACAGGATTATACTTTTTTATAGGTTTTCTTTCTTTTCTGTCTTTCCCTCCGTCTCTCCCTGCCTTCTTTTCTTCTTGCCTGCCTTCCTTCCTTCCTTCCTTCCTTCCTTCCTTCCTTCCTTCCTTCCTTTTGAGGCAGAAACTTGCACTGTCACCCATGTTGCAGTGCAGTGGCATGAACATTCCTTACTACAACCTCAAGCTTCTGGGCTCAAGTGATTCTCCTTCCTCAACCTCCTGGGTAGCTGGGACTACAGGCAGATGCCTCTGCATCCAGCTATTTCTTAAATTTTTATTTTTTGTAGAAACGGGGTTTCACTAGGTTGCTCAGGCTGGTCTTGAACTCCTGGCCTCAAGTGATCCTCCCACCTCAGTTCCCAAAGTATTGGGATTACAGGCATGAGCCACTGCGCTTAGCCTCATGTTTTTTTCTAATTATCATATGTATTTTCCATGTTCACAGACAGTTATTTTCTATCAGACACTTGTGCATGGGTCTTAATGGCCACCCTATGGGATTACTTCAAAGTTGCCTGTCAGGAGTGTACAGAGATTACCAGTACCAAACAAGATTTTAAATTATGTTAGGCTTTTCACCAGTATGCAACATAGCTTCTGAGTTACAATTTCTCTTGAATGGCTCTTCCCATGCTTTAGGGCAAAGAGCTTCAGGCCAGGAGACAATTCCCCTGTCTTCACGCACAATTAGGGCAGCTCATTCACAATTGCCTTTTTCTATGCAGAGAATGCATTCCTGCATTATGCCATACCCCAGTCCAGGAACTAAAACCTGCCTTATGCCATACCCCAGTCCAGGAACTAGAAAGTTTCCAGGCTGCTAGAGAAGTTATTTGTAACGTGACTTGCGAGAAGAGGGAAATAGAACATATCTTACTTTGTGTGCTTCTCCCCATTTATGTGCATCCCCCCAAAATTCCACGATCTAGTAGGACATAAGGTGGGGGTGTTCTGGCTTCAAGGACTAATGAGAGCAAGGCAAGATTCTTGTGTTAGAGAAATTGGGGGGCTGGTTATCAAAGCAGGAACTCAGACACGGAGAAATACAAAACAGGGCCTTTGGGCCTGTTTGATGGAAATGAAGGCTCAGTATATTAGCTTGCTGAAATTCTGAACTAAAATTACCCCCTAAATATATACTAAAGCTTGGGACAAACTCACCAACAAGTGTAGGTTGAGTGTTTGTAATTGGGAAGGAAGACTGGCTAAAGAGGCAAGGAGCCACGCAGGTCATTTATTATTGTGTTAACCACCTTTGGATTCAGACTTTTTTAAACTTAATGAATGGAACAGAGTACTGTGAGCACTAAATTTTTTTCACATATTTCTGTGATAATATTTTGTGAAATGCAACTTTATAATTGATTGTAATGTAAAAAGATTCAAACCTGTAATTTCAGACTTCTGGAATGAGGGACTGTGGTCATCATGAAAAAGACCGTCAGTAAGAGGAAATTATTCTTTCATGTCTTATGAATTTTATAGAATATTTGAAAATAAAAATAAAGGCTTATTATTGAATTAGTTCTGGGAGGGTAGTCTCAATTCATAAACACTACAGTATTAAAAGTATGTCAGGAGTGGAGCGATGGCGGAATAGGAGTTCTTTGGCTCCATTCTATCTCCCCAGCCCATTCCATCTCCCCACCCCTCCTCACACACAACCACAGAAGCTAACCAGCAACTATTCACAGACAAGAATAGCATCCCAAATATCCCATAACTTGGGAGTGAAGCTGAAACACCTCCACTGGACTGCAGCACCAAGGAAAGCTGTAATCAAATGGTAAAAAGAATGGTTCTCTTTGAGTGCACCAGCCCTCCCCAAAGTCAGCCCAGCACCACACATGGAGAATTCCTCTGGAACCATGGTTTTCACAGTAGGAAAAGTGAGGTAAATCGACATGCAGCTTGTCTACCATTCTAGGACCCACTCTTCTTTCATCCCACAAGAAACACTGGCAACACAGGCAGAGTCAGACCACCTAAGATGAGCTAGAAACAAAGAATATAGGTAGAGCTCACAGTGTACAGAACTTGGTGGCTACTCCACATTCCAGGCAAGGGAGGCACCACACCAGAGAAACTAGCCAAGAGGATCACACTGCAGAAAACATAGTCCATAATTATTTTAGGCTCGAATCCTTAGCTCATGTCCCCACACAGCCTTAATGCTCTTCCCAGGTCTTCTATATGCCCTATTTAGGAGAAGAAAAGGTGCTAGGCAAGCTTGAGCTAGGAAGGCAAGCAGAAGCTCCACTCAATCAATAGGCACTCCCAATGACCTCACCCAGGCAGAAAGACTCCCATCTTCATACGTCTCAGAGTAGTGTATGGGCTAGAACAGCTTGAACCAAAAAGTTAGGCAGCAGCTTCAACCAGCCAAGATGCCTGCCAAATGATCCCACCCAGCCAGGGAGACTCCCACCCCCATGGATTTCAGAGAAGCAAAAGGGCTAGACTGGGTTGACCCAGGAAGTCAAGTAGTAGCTCCACTCAGTCAAAAAGCCCACCCACAACTGCGCCAAAGCAGGGATACATTCATCTTCACAGATTTCAATCTTCAGTTACGCATTTCTAAGGATTAGAGCCTCTGGCCCTGCCTGTCCCAAGCAGAGACTACACCTACCCTAGGAGCCCAGTTAGTACCTTTACTTGATAGCAGAGCTTAGCCAGTGGTCTCACTGGACAGCAGAACCTAGCCAGCAGCCCCAACAAACATCAGAGCAGAAGGAGGGGCTCAGTCAACTAGAGAATTCAACAGGTCTGCCTGTCCAGGGTCATAGCAGCAGGCCCTTCCACAATCACAGGCTAGACTAAACAGTGAAGGCTTATCCCTGACAAAGATCTCCTATAAAGCCTAGAGAAGAGGCTGTTTCCTCAAATGTGTAGACAACAATGCAAGGACACAAGAATTATGAGGACTCAGGAAATATGACACCTCCAAAAGAAACTAATAAAGTTCTGAAAATAGACCTCAAAGGAAAGGGCATCTATGAAATTACTGAGAAATAATTCAGATTAACACTCTTAATTTCAGTGAACTACAATAACATATGAATAGAACATTTAATAAGATTAGGAAAACAATACACAAAAAAGGTGAGAAGTTTGACAAAGAAATAGAAACAATAAAAAATAATCTGGACATGGTTGGAGCTGGAAGCCATTGTCCTCCACAAACTAATGCAGGAACAGAAAACTGAACACCACATGCCCTCACTTATAAGTGGGAGCTGAATGGTGAGAGCACATGGACACAGGGAGAGGAACAACACACACTGAGGCCTGTTGGGGGTTGTGGGAAAGGCTAGGGGGAGAAAGAGCATTTGGAGAAATAGCTAATGCATGCTGGGCTTAATACCTAGGTGGTGGGTTGACAGGTGTAGCAAACCACCATGGCACATGTTTTACCTATATAACAAACCCGCACTTCCTGCACATGTATCTCAGAACATAAAATTTAAAAGAATGTCTTTTTGGGGTTAGTTTCATGATTAAAAAAAAGATAGAAATCCTTCAGATGAAGACTACAATAACTGAACTGAAGAATTTAATAGAATGTTTCAAGAGCAGACACAGTCAAGAAGAATGAACCAGTGAGCTGGGAGATAGAACAGCTGGGAAAGCAAAAAGACAAAAGAATGAGAAAAAATGAAGAAAGCCTACCAGAATTTTGGGACAGCATCAAGAGACCAAACCTTCACATAATAGAAGTTGCAGAAGGAGAACAAAGGGAAAAATGGCCAGAAAGCATATTTAAATAATATTTGGCTGAAAACTTCCCTAATATGGAGATAGACGTCAACACCTAGACACAGGAAGTGCAGAGGTCTCCAATTAAATTCAAGACCAAAAGGAGTATACCAAGGTACATAATAATCCAAGTAACAAAAATCAAAGAAAAAGGTAAGATACACATCACATACAAAAGACTGCCAATACACTATCAGCAAATTTCTCAGCAGAAACCCTGCAGACAAGGAGAGAGTGAAGTGACATCTTCAAAGTGCTAAAGAAAAATAAATCTGCTAACCAAAAATACCCTATCCAGCCAAGATGTTTTCAGAAATGAGGGAGAAATAAAAACTTTTCCAGATAAACAAAAGCTAAGGAAATTCGTCACCACTGTATCTGCCTTACAGTAATTGCTAAAGGGAGTTCTTTAAACTGAAACCAAAAGCTGCTAATTAATAACATGAAACATATGAAAGCATAAAACTTAATGGTATAAATAGGACCATATTCAGAATATTCTAGGACTGTTATAATGGTATCTAATGCAATTTTATTCCCAGGAAAATGGCTAAAATACAAAACAGAGAAAACAATAGCTAAAATAAATTTTCAAGGGATATAAATTGCAAAATGATGTAAATTGTAACATAAAAACCTAAAAGTGGGGAGTGGTAAAAGTGTGTAGATTTGTTAGACACAATCCAAGTTAAATTATTATTAGCTTGAAATAGGCCATTATAAGTACATGTTATTCACATAACCCTTATGGTAACCACAAAGCAAAAATATTCAGTAAAAGCACTAAACAAAACAGAAAGGATTCAAAGCATATCACTACAGAAAACCCCAGCAAACCACAAAGGAAGACAGCAATAGACAGGAAAGCAAAGTTTCTAGAAAACAACTGGAAAACAACTAACAACATGGCGGTCCTCAGTCCTTACCTATCAATAACTACCTTGAATGTAAATGCATTGTATTTCCCAATAAAAATACGCAGAATGACTAAATGGACAAAAACAAAACAAAGCAAAGCCCAAATATATGGTGCCTAGAAGAGATATCTTTAAAGGCACACATGGTCTGAAAGTGAAGGGATGGAAAAATAATTCTACACCAAGATGAACCAAAAGAGAACAAAAGCAGCTAAACTTATTTGAGGCAAAATTGACTTTAAGGAAAAAAAATTTTTTTAAGACACAGAAAAGAACATTATACAATGATAAAGGGGTTAATTCATCGAAAGAATTTAAAACTTGTAAACATATATGCACACAACATTGGAATACCTAATTATAGAAAACACACATTAGAGGATCTATCTAAAGAAAGTGATAGAGTGCAATACAACAATAGTAGGGGACTTCAATACCATAATTTCAACAATGGACAGATCATCCAGACAGAAAATTAATAAGGAAACTTTGGATTTGAATAACTCATTAGATCAAATTGACCTAAGAGGCATGTATAGAAACATCCCATCCAAGAGCAACAAAATACACATGCTTCTCAAGTACACACAGAACATTCTCCAGGATGGATCATATGTTAGGCCACAAAGTAAGCTTCAGCAATTTTAAGACTGAAATTATATCAAGTTTTTTTCCAGCCACAATGGTATGAAGCTAGAAATCAATATTAGAAGGAATGTCAGAAAATTTACAAATACATGAAAATTAAACAGCATGCTCTTAAAAAGTCAATGCAGTAATGAGGAAATTAAATAAGAAATTAAATGTATATCTTGAGACAAATAAAAATCGGAAAAATGGGACACAGCAAAAGCAGTTCTACAAGAAAAGTATAGCAGTAAATGCCTACATCAAAGAAGGAGAAAAGTCTCAAATATAAAACCTAACATAATACCTCAAAGAAGTAGAAAAAGAACAAACTATGCCCAAAGTTAGCAGAAGGAAGTAAATAATAAAGATCAGGGCAGAAATAAATGAAATAGAGACTAAAAAATAACTTAAGAATCAATGGAACTAAGAGAGGAATTTTTTAAAAGGAAATAATTGACAAATCTTTAGCTAGTCTAAGAAAAGAAAGGAGAAGACTCAAATAAATAAAAGCAGATATGAAAGAAGAAACATGACGCCCAAGGCCACAGAAATAGAATCATAAGAGGCTATGAACAATTATATGTCACAAGTTGGACAGCCTACAAGAAACGGATAAATTCTTAGACAAATAAAACCTACCAAGACTAAATTATGAAGAAACAGTCAATCTGAATAAAATTGCAATGAGTAAGAAGGTTAAATCAGTGATTGAAAAGTCTCTAATTAAAGAAAATCCCAGGACCTGATGGCTTTGTGGCTGAATTCTACCAAACATTTAAAGATTAACTAACACCAATCCCACTCAAACTCTTCCCAAAAATTGAAGAAAAGGGAATACTCCTAAACTCTTTTTACAAAGCCAGCATTACACTGATATTAAAACCAGACAAAAACATTAAAAGAAAAGAAAATTACAGGCCAATATCTTTGATGAACACAAATGCAAAAATCCTCAACAAAATACTAGCAAACAGAATTTAACTATATATTAAAACAATCATGAAACATGATCAAATAGAATTTATGCCCGGAATGCAATGATGGGTCAACATACACAAATCAATATATGTGATAACATCATATTAACAGAATGAAAGAAAACCACCATACAATCTTCTCATTAGGTGCAAAAAAGCATTTTACAAAATTCAATGCCCTTTCATGATAAAAAATCTCACCAGGTGCGGTGGCTCATGCCTGTAATCCCAGCACTTTGGGAGGCCGAGGAGGGTGGACCACAAGGTCAGGAGTTCAAGACCAGCCTTGCCAACATGGGGAAACCCCGTCTCTACTAAAAATACAAAACTTAGCCCAGCATGGGGGCGTGTGTCTGTAATCCTAGCTACTCTGGAGGCTGAGGCAGAAGAATTGCTTGGACCCGGGAGGTGGAGGTTGCAGTGAGCCGAGATCGCACCATTGCACTCAAGCCTGGGCAACAAAAGCAAGACTTCATCTCAAAAAGACAAAACAAAACAAACAAACAAACAAAAAACAAAAAACACTCTCCAAATTAGATATACAAGAAATGTACCTCAGTACAATAAAGGCCAATTATGAAAATCCCACAGCTAACATTAGGCTTAACTGTGAAAACTTGAAAGCCCTTTCTCTAAGGTCTGACCAAAAGAATGCCCACTGTCATCACTTTAATAAGGTATTAATAAAGAAATTATTGCCAGAGCAATTAGGCAAGAGAAAGAAATAAAAGACATTGAAATAGGAAAGGAAGAAGTGAAATTGTCACTGTTTGCTGATGACATCATCTTATATAAGAAAATCCCACAGATTGCATTGAAAAACTGTTAGAACTAAAAAACAAATAGACTGAGGTCGCAGGATACAAAATCAACACGCAAAAATCAGTAGATGCATTTGTATGCAGTAATAACAAATGATTCAGAAACTAAAGAGAACAATCCCATTCACAATTGCTACAAAAATAAAATATTTAGGAATAAATTTAACAAAAGGGTAAAAGACCTGTACACTGAAAATTATAAAACATCGATAAAATAAATTAGAGAAGATATAAATAAATAAAAAGATAGTCTGTGTTCATGGATTGAAAAAAATAATATTGTAAAAAAAAGGTCATACTACCCAAAGTGATCTATAGATTCAATGCAATGTCTATCAAAATTCCAGCATCATTTTTCATAGAAATAGAAAAAACAATGCTAAGATTCATGTGGATCCACAAAAACCCTAAATAGCTAAGGCAGTCATATGCAAAACAACAAAGATGGAAATATCACCCTACCTGATTCCAAACTATACTACAAAATTATTGTAATTAAAACAGCATGGTTTTGGCAAAAAATAGACACATTGACCAATGGAACAGAATAGAGAATGGAACAGCAATGAATTCATACATATACAGCCAAGTGATTTATGACAAATGTGCCAAGAATATGCAATGGGAAAATGACAGTCTCTTCAATAAATAGTGCTGGGAAAACTGAATTTCCACATGTAGAAGAAAGAAATTGTACTCTTATCTCACACTATAAAGAATAATAACTCAAAATGGATTAAAGACTTAAATGTAAGACCACAAACTGTAAAACTACTAGAAGAAAACCGGGGAAAACTACATGACTTGGGTCTGGGCAATAATTTTTTTTGATTTGCCCCAAAAGTACAGGCAACAAAAACAAAATTAGACAAATGAGATTACATCAAACTAAAAAGCATCTGTACAGCAAAGGAAACAGTTACCAGTGTGCAAAGATACCTATTGATCGGGAGAATATACTTGCAAGCCATACATTCAATAAGGGGTTAATATCCAAAAGATATAAGGACAAAAAACTCAATAGGAAGAAAAAAAGTCCAATTAAAAAAATGGAAGTCCACTTCCACATAGAGTATGCAAGTATACAAATAAAAGTTGCATGTAAAAGGTTTTTTGATCATCTGTTTTCTTTATGATTCAAACCTGACTGTTGTGTAAAATGGTATTGTATTAGTCTGTTCTCATACTACTATAAAGAACTGCCTGAGAATGAGTAATTTATAAAGGAAAGAGATTTAATTGACTCACACTTCCGCATAGCTGGGAAGTCCTCAGGAAACCTACAATCATGGTAGAAGGGGAAGCAAACAGGCCCTTCTTCACATGGTGGCTGGAGAAAGAAGTGCTGAGCGAAGGGGGAAGCCCCTTATAAAACCATCAGATCTTGTGAGATCACTCATTACCATCAGAATAGCACAGGAAAAAATGCCCCCATAATTCAATTATCTCCACCTGGTCCCACCCTTGACATATGGGGATTATTACAATTCAAGTTGAGATTTGGGTGGGGACACAGAGCCAAACCATATCAGGTATGTTAGGTCACATCTAGATGCCAAATAATGTTGCTTTCAAGGAACTTATGACTTGAGGAGTGAAGTCATAAACCAGAGAAGTTTAATTAATTATACAAGGCAATATGTGGTAGGTAGTAAATGGTCTGGAATCTCAATGGATTAATTCAGAAAAGTAGAGATTATGGATCATTTGCTTGTTGTAGAGTTGTAAGAAGATTTGACCCTATATGTAAGATTTAGTGCTATTACATGGCTCTAAGCTACAGATTCAAATTTCAAGAATTTTATTTACTGCTTTAAACTATAGAATTGCTATCCTATCAACAGGTGATAGTAGGAATACCAGTCACCTAATCTGAAATGTAAAGCATGGGTTAGAGTGGACATTCACTATAGTACCACATATTTTTCACTACCTTTTTTTTTTTTTTTTTTTTTTGAGATGGAGTCTCACTCTGTCACCCAGGCTGGAGTGCAGTGGCGCAATCTCAGCTCACTGCAATCTCTGCCTCCCAGGTTCACACCATTCTCCTGCCTCAGCCTCCCGAGTAGCTGTGACTACAGGCACCTGCCACCACGCCCTGCTAATTTTTTGTATTTTTAGTAGAGACGGGGTTTCACCGTGTTAGCTAGGATGGTCTTGATCTCCTGACCTCGTGATCCGTCCACCTCGGCCTTCCAAAGTGCTTGGATTACAGGCAAGAGCCACCGCGCCTGGTCTTCACCACCATTTTTAAAGGTAAAAACTACACATAATAACATTTCATGGAATCAATTATTTTTTATAAAACAACACTGATAATGTAATAATTGCTTAAGGTGCCTGTTAATAATCTTTCTCAATAATCTTTTATTATTGGCTCAAGGAACAATGTTAGTTTCTATCAGTATCAGTTTCTATCATGCGATACATAACTATTAAGAGCCATCTATTAGTTAGAAATTATCTTTATCTTTCTAATTTGTTTCACCCTGAGTTCAGTTATAAGCTAAATAGCCATGTCATTTCCAGCAAACCCACTGTCAAAAACCCTTAAAGGTTTGCTGATCTGCTAGCTTTGAGTACTTCAATGTACCCAGAAGTAAAAATTCTGGTATCTATTTTGCGGACTATTTCAGAAATAAACTAACACGTGTTTAAATTCTTTTCTCTTTGACTTCCCTTTTTCTTTTCTCTGTATTAGCAGTCAAAATAATAATGGTTAACATTTATTGGAGACTTGCTGTATAACATCAATATCGCATTTAGTCCTCATAATAACACTGAGTTTGGCGCTGCTATCACGTCTCCTGTGTTACAGGTAAGGGAATGCAAATATTGAGAGGCTAAATAACCTGCTTAGGGGCACACAGCTAATAAGTTGAAGATCCAGGATTTATAACCTAGCCAGCCTAACTCCAGAGCCCAAGCTTTTGTTGTAGGACTTTCTTCTTAGTTCAGCTAAAAATGGGGTCCTTGTCATATGACCCTGAAATATTAGGCTCACAGACACTTTGACGGGTGAGGAAAATGGAATTTATTGGGCAAAAAGGAAAGAAGGGGAAACAGGGACTCTCAGCAGAGAGAGACCCTTGATACGCTATGCTTCCTGCCTCGCAGATTGAATCCCAGGTACCTCCCAGGAAGAGGAAGGGGCAGGCTCCACCCCCTGCAAACAACGCTAACTTCCTGCACACCCCAGTGCGCAGGCTGGTCAGAGGCTTTTCGGGGTCCCCTTTATACTTGGCTGTCTCACTTTCACCACTACATGATATCAGACCGGACTGAAAATATTAACTTGAGAGAGATTGTTCTTCTCCAAAAATAAAGTATTTTACTTTATAAGGCTAACAGCACTTCTACTTTATTCCATAGACTAATCTACAAACATAAGATAACAGCATTTGGATATCATAGTGCCATCCTAGTAATATCTTAGCATCAGTTTGGCCAACAGAAAAGAATACTAATTTGTTAGATTTTCAGCCCTCCTACTTTCCGCCTCACTTCCCTACAATCCAATGTAATTAATGTTAATGAAGGGGAAGGCTGAGATTTGTATATGGAGAAAAGAATGAAAGGTTAGTTGAGAAGGAAGAGAAAGGTAAGTAGCCATTGGAGTGTGTATTTGGGACAGAGTTTATTTGTGTATTTATTTTTAACTTTGGATAGAGGAAGAAGAGAGACACAGAAGGATGTCTATAAGAGCATTCTAGAATCTTTCAGTCTGTGATATATTACAGGATATAAGGAATCCTATAGCTCACCTCAACTCTATTTTGTTAAATTTTGATAGACTTCATTAGACATTTAACTTGCTCTGTTACACACACACACACACACACACACACACACAAACTGAACTAGTGCTGGTATTTCTTCTGAAGGTTTCATCAAGCAGAACATGGACATCTTCATCTCCACTTAAGCACTGTTATTTTTTTTCCCCTCCCACTTAACTTCTGTAGTTAAGCATGGAGTTAGTTGTACAGCAGTGTTTTGTGAAACAACCTATACTTAAACAAATAAGAAAAACATAGTAAAACTTTATTCAAGTTTTTGAGTGGCCCCTTCAATCTAATTTCCCAACAAGCACTGTAACTTATATTTTTTCTTCACAAACTTTCTATAATCTTTGGTAACACTCTTAAGAGCACACAGTACCTGTCTAAAAGTAATAACTTTTTTGTTTTCACTAGAACAGAAATTAAGTGAAAAATGACTAATGAGAGAAGATCACCCCAGAGAGAGAAAGATTACTATAAATGCTAGATAATATTATACTTTTGTTCAAATTACTCCTTAGATAGCCATGTTGTGTTCAATGATTTTTCTTTAGTTTTAATCCCTGGCCAAGACATTCCTTTAAAGCCCCTTGCATATTTATTTTCATCTGTCCTTGACAACTTTGATTCTCCAGTTTTCTTTTCCCCCTCCATGTTCTTTCAGACTATCAAGCCTCTCCTACAATCTCTGCTATCTTTTGTATCCGCAAATCTATATCTCATTATCTAAATGACTTTCAGATTACCCTCAATTTCCTTGCGTTCATCTTCCTCTTCTGCCCTCTGCATTAATGCTAAAATATGCCTTCTGTGCTCATATACCCTGGACTCTGAGCACAAGTGCAGAAAATCACCAAACAAATCAAACTGTGGTCATCTTTAGTACACAATTTCAAATCTCAGATGGCTCCTCTGTACCAGTAGTTAATGTTTTTATTTGTCCTTGGTCAATTACCTCTTCCATTCCTGTCAGTGATTATTCCAGATCCCAATCAATCTTCTTAAGTTCTCCGATCAATTCCCACAATCTTCTTTCTCAGCAGAAAACCTTGATTCCAACTGCATTGATACTATTGGAGCCTTCAGATATGATCCATGTCAACTTCCAGGCTCCAAATATACAAATCTGTCTATGTATAAACCCAAGATTTTTTCCTTCTCTCCTAGCTAAGAACTCAATCCCTCATGTTTTAAACAATCCCCAAATCTTTGCTCTCCTGATTCCAAGATTCCTTGCTCTTAGTTGTCTTACCTTACCTTACCTCTTACCTCTGTATTTCCAACTTCTCTCTCTCTCTCTTAATTTGCTGTAACCTCTGAGCCCACAAATATGCTCAACTCTTCCCCATTATAAACAAACAAACTTCCCTTTAATGCAATATCTCCTTCTAAGAACCATCTCATCTTTCTCCTTCCTTTCTCATCAAACTTCTCAAAAGATTAGTTTCTATTTCTATTTTTTCATCTGTGTAATCATTCCTCACACATAGGCATAAGGATTCTTCCCCATTACAACTCTGGAAAAATCACTTACTAAGATACTAGTGACTTCCTTATCACCAATGAATAGGCAGATACTATTCTTTCTCCTTCTGGACTTTTCTGTTTCAATTAAGATTGATAATTGTTCTGTCCAGCTTTCTAGAAACAAAAACACATAAAACTTTAATGCTTAGTAGGCTTCTTTGACACTTCATTTTCCAGCTTAAATTTTCTTATAACGTCTAGCCAATCCCATTCTGTCTTCTTATTGGGCTTTCCTCCTCTGACCACCTAAAACTACTTTCAAAGACCATATTCTTGGGCTACTGATCTCATTCCATACACTTTTACTGGGAGATCTCAGCTCACTCATTATTTTAAATACTGATATTTATATTTCTGATTAGAAATCTCCTTTGAGTTTTGGCCTTGTATATACCAGTGCCTGCCAGATAACTCCATTTGGATGACCTAAATAAAACCTTCTTTAAAATTAAAATGTCGCAACTTCAGCCTATCCTCTTCCTCTCTAAACCTACTTTTCTGGAGTCTTTTATACAAGTTAGGGCTCTCCCATCTACTTTGTTACCTACACTATATTTATGTTTACTTACTACCTGAATTTTAAGTTTTCCAATTCAATAAATATCCTGCTGACTTGACCACCAAAACACATTTATCAGATCTGTCTAGTCTTATTCTTTCTTACTAGAAGTTTCCAAATTCTGGATAGACAGTATCTTTAAAATGGATTATTACAACAGGATCCTAATTAGTTTCAAGCTAACCCCCTCAAATTCATTCTCCACATGTCTATAACTGCTTATAACACTTCTATGTCTCCTCTTTGTTCATAAGTAAAAGACCAACATCCCAAACATGACATCCCAAGCCCTCTGGAATCTGGCTTTTCCCCATCAATCTAGTAACTCACTGCCATTTTTGATCTTCTACTTTATGCTTTAGCAATATTAGTGAAATGCCCTACATACCATCTCTTTCAAGCCCCTCTATCTTTAAGTCCCTCAGCCTTTATTCCTGATCTCAAATGCCTACCTACCTGTATCTGACCAATTTCTGCTCATTATTTAAGAAATTTCCCACAGAAGGATTGCCCTCTTCAATTTCCCATCATCCTGAATCTAGCTTAAAGCCCTTTCATAACCACTCACTGTACTTCATTTGCTGTGCCTATCTTCTCACTGGACCATGCCTTTTTTGAGAGCAAGGACCATAGCTTTCCATCACTTAGCAAGATGCATAATAGACTCTCAATAAATATATATTTTTAAAAAATGAATGAGTAAACTAATTCTGCCATGAACAATTTTGATGTACCAAAATTAACCTAAAAACTTCTTTAAGAATATCTTTCTCTAAACCCAGCTACCACTATGCATTTTTGAGACAGATATCTTTACTTGACTTTCTCTAATGATCATTAAAGTTAATTTTAATAAATTAACGTGATCTTTTATGAGTTCTTCTAGGAAAGCTCCTTGTCATAACATCTGGCAATATAAAATCAATCATCAATCATCAAATTCTCTTTTAAGTGAAATAATGTATAACAAGGATACACAAGTAATCTAAATATTTATTATTAGACCACTTTAGCTTCTTTATCTATGCAACTTCTTACCCAAGATGGAACTTCTAATTCTTATTTTTCATTTAAAATTTGCTCTACCTAGTGCTTTGATGACATATGGATGATTTTATAGAGAATAAAGGGAGGAAAAAGTCAGAAACATTGAAAACAAGTTGTAAGTAATCTCTTTGAGGAGTTTATACATGAGATGCAAAGTAGAGGGATGCACTGATACAAGAGCTAATATGGGTAAAGTAAAAACTGAACCATTCATTTCAGTGACAAAACCTTTGATATTTCTCATTCTGTAAAACAAAGGTCTATCAGCAAGAAAATTTCTTTATGAAGCAAATAGTGGCTGATAGGAACAGAATCAGACTTTAAAGACAAATTATGTTTGGAAGCAGCCTAAGAGTCCATAAACAGATGAATGGATAAAGAAAATGTGGTACATATACACAATGAAGTACTATTCAGTCATAAAAAAGAATGAGATCTAGTCATTTGCAACAACATGGACGGAACTGGAGATCATTATGTTATGTGAAATAAGTCAGGCACAGAAAGAGAGATGACATGTTCTCACTTATTTTTGGGAGTTAAAAATCAAAACCTTGATTCCAACTGCATTGATACTATTGGAGCCTTCAGATATGATCCATGTCAACTTCCAGGCTCCAAATATACAAATCTGTCTATGTATTGAACTCATGTACATAGAGAATAGAAGAATGTTTACCGGAAGCTGGAAAGTGTAGTGGGCAGGGTTTGGGGAGGGAGGTGGGGATGGTTAACGGGTACAAAAACATAGTTAGAAAGAATGAGTAAGCCGTACAATTTGATAGCATAATAGGGTTACTACAGTGAATAATAACTTAACTGTACATTTAAAAATGACTTAAAGAGTATAATTGGATTGTTCGTAACTGAAAGGATAAATGCTTGAGGGGATAGATATCCCATTTTCTATGAAGTGCTTCACATTGCATGCCTGTATCAAAACATCCCATGTACCCCATAAATATATACACCTTACTATGTACCCACAAAAATTAAAAAGAAAAATAAAGATAGAATATTACATAAGAAAAAAAGACAAATTATGTACTTTGTTTGAGTGATGTTGTTAACAGACAAAAAAATCAACGAAGTCCCGGCGCGGTGGCTCATGCCTGTAATCCCAGCACTTTGGGAGGCCAAGGAGGGCGGATCAAGAGGTCAGGAGTTCGAGACCAGCCTGGCCAACACAGAGAAACCCCATCTCTATGAAAAATACAAAAATTAGCTGGGCATGGTGGCGGGTACCTGTAATCCCAGCTACTCAGGAGGCTAAGGCAGGAGCATAGCTTGAATCTGGGAGGCTGAAGTTATAGTGAGCCGAGATCGTGCCACTGCACTCCAGCCTGGGCAACAGAACTAGACTCCTTCTCAAAAAAAAGAAAAAAAAAAAAACAAAAAAAAACAAAAATCTATTACTTAAATTTAGTAGCTGATGTGAGTCTATCTAAACTTTCAATTCCAGTTTCACACATTCCAAGACTGTCTCTAGTATCAATGACAACAGCACCATTCATTACCAACAGACTTACAATATTTTAAATAATTAAAATGCTGTGTTGCATAAAAAATAGAAATTACCTTTTGTATAACACATATCTCCAAAAATGAGCTCTTAGATTATATTTTATTTATTGCTTTAAAATGGAAAAACATCTGAAAATTAATCCATACATGTCAAAAGTTATAAAAATAAGAAGAATGAATTAAATATTATCAGAGTTTTAATTAAAAAAACACCCAACTATAATTATTTGTCAGGATCCAATCAGTTTCTATGCATTTTATAATATTTTGTTTTGAACATGATAGAATCTAAGAAGTGAGTTTTGATGTAAGGAGTATTTTAAGACTCAGGATAATTGTTGCCAATGTAACCAGGTAACGTTTAAAACATCCTGGATCCTTTATTCCAAGAGTGAAGAGCTGTAGGGTATCAGGGCATTTTAGAAACTCTCAGTGGCATTTAGAAACTCTCAGAAGGAAGTAGTGTGGTGACTTTTATGTTTTAATGTTTCCAAAGGCTTTCAGAATGTCATGTGATAAGAGCTCAAAAATTTTTGCAGCAGCCAGCTTTCCAGCAGCTTGCTTCTGCTTTTTAGCATTGAAGTACATGAGACCTTAGTCGTTAAAAGCCTCTCAATATTTACCAACCACGAATTTGCTTTCTATATTTTTCCTTCCAAGTGAATCCCAATATCTTTAGGATGCCTATTTAATTTCTGTGCTCCACAATGACTGTCTTCTTTGATGAAGAGTTATTAATGAGTATTTGGCTTTTAGTATGAAAAACGAGGTAAACAGAATTACCAGGAGAGGTCCTAATGGTACAATCATGTCAGAGTAATGGACAGAGTTTCCTGGTGGATTTCTAAAGGAATATAAGCAAATAACAAACAGTTTACTTGAGGGATAAATTTAACATTTTCTAAAAGTTCACTCTGAATATTGGTTGTTTAAAAGTTTACACATTTTTCCTGCATTTTTGCCAGTTAAAAAACAACTATACCTTTGTTTGATCTGAATATGATTAGGATAAAACAATATTAAATAATTTTTAAAACGTTATAGTTTAAGAAACAGAAATGCAGGACTTATACTTTCATGATAATTATTATAAGCTGTAGGAAATTATTGTACCATGACCTGATTTTAGTAGTTTTTAACATGACAAATTTTAGATCCAGTCTTTTACTGAATCATTTTGTAGAATTAAAATCTCTCTGAAAAACATTGTGATGCCTTTAGATTGGACAGCGGAAAATAAAATGTGTCTCAATAAGTACTCTTGACCTTTTAAGGCTTCAGGAAGTATGTGGAGGTAAGCACTTTCCTGAGGTGTCATCGTCTCTGAGGACAGAAAAGGGATCCAGCTGCCAAGTGACGTTCTAATTCTCATGGTTGGGCCTGTTGTCTGGAAAAAGAGTCATGCTCCATTTAGTAATTCCAGTGTTTCTTCCTCTTCCTGTAAAGAAGGGTGTGGGAGCAGGGAATATTCATTCACAAAAAATGGAACAGAAATATGTATCCCGTGGGAAGGAGCCATTTATAGAACTGTCTAAAAATATGTATTTGGGCAGGTCAGATGATATTTTGCAATATTACCGGATGACCATTAAGTTTGTACACTGGCTTTGAATATGTGTTCATTTCTGAAGCAGGAGTCATTTTGAAGTACTAGGAAAATGGGGTTGCCAAAGAGATAAACTGTTATATGGCTAATTTCTTTGTATCTAGTTCAAACCAGTTCCCCCAAGCAGAACTTATGGATATCTGAGAAATTAAAAAAGTAATAGTCTACTTAGGATTCCTTACCAATGACATTATCCTTATAATATAGTATTACAAGTTATAGTTTTTTAAATTTAGTACATAATTTTATGACTTATTAAATAGGTCATAAAAGTAACTGGGCAAGGGAAAACTAAGATATTGCAGGAGAAATCCAGGTCATAGAGCTCATTCAGCACAGCTGACTAGAAAACTGATCATTCTTGGACTCTGATTGCTGATTTGGGGCATGGAGAGGTTTTTTTCATCACCGTCTGAAACTGTCTCAGAATGGGCACAGGTTGGAGTGTAAGAAACACAGATTGTACACAAAAGCCTTGGTTTCCACATCCCTACTCCTTGTCACACATCCACTGGGTGACCTTGATTTTAACCTCTTTAAACCTCAGTTTCCAAAGCAGGAGTGAGAACTGAATAATTCATCAGTTTTTTTTTTTTTTGGCTCTAGATTCTAATTTCATGTTTTATTATCTTTGGCTCTCCCTCAGTTGTGAAAGAAGACTGCATTTTGCTTGTGTTCTAGATAAAAGAAGATTTTCATGTTCATTCAAATCAATATTTCAACAGAAAATTACTACAGTTTTATTTTTCAAAAGTGATCACTAGGCTTTCTTGCTCGCATATATTTTTATAAGGGAGACATGGGATGTGTCATGCCCCATCCTTTAGAGAGAAGCAACACCTAGCTTAAGGGTCAAAATGGAGAGGGCTGAGGTTGCACTCTTTCTGAGATGATGGTCACTGTCTGCATGGGAGGCTGTTTTTTTTCCTGGGGGTGGAGTCAGGTCATCCCAACTCTTTACCACCTCATTTCTTTAGCCTCCGCAAGACCATCTCTCTATATATGCAGGTATATATAGGTGCTTTTCTTTTTTGAAGCATTGGTGTAATTTAAGATGATAACCAAACAAAAAAGGAGCGAAATTAAGGCTTTATGTTAAATAGTATATTTACAGTTTCCAAAAGGAAATCACAATAAGAATTGAGTTACTTACAAGGAGTCCAATCCTGGGCATCTCCCCACATACTTTCTAACCATATCTTTCTCCCCACTCCCCATAATGAAATCAATGGTAGTCTCTTCTAAGTGCTTCCTGTTCTAAAGCTTTTCTTGGCTAATCTTCATCAATTTTTTTTTTCAGGAAACTTTAGCCTTACCTATTTCTTGATTATATTCTCCTTCCACAGTGCATTTTCCCAAATATGAGTCATAAGTTCTGGATTCTTGAAGAGGAAAAATTTTATTCATATAATGAATAAATATGAACGAACTTCTGGAATGACCCTTTCTTAGGATGGAGAGGAAAAGTAAATACATCATCTCAAAGTTAATGTCTTTATCTTTATTCTAAATCAGAAAAGTGAAGATCATGTTCTCTTACCATTAGGGAACATATCCAATTCATGCAGCACCAAAGTATGTTAGCAGCAGTGAATTAGTACGCGTCTGCAGCAACCTCAGTTCTTGCCTCCTCAGGAGGAAGAATTCAATCAAGGGGCATAAGACAAAGAGAGACTGAGGCAAGTTTTACAGCAGTTGTTAAAGTTTATTTAAAGGCTTTTGAATAGGAATGAAAGGAAATAAAGTACACTTGGAAGAGAGCCAAGTGAGTCACTTGAGAGATCAAGTGTCCGGTTTGACCTTGACTTGGGGTCTTATACGTTGGCATTTTACATGCACAGTGGCCTGCCAGCACTTGGGAGGGGCTGCATGTGCATTGTGTTTACTGGAGTTGTACGCATGCTCACTTGAGGCGTTCTTCCCTTACCAGTCAAATGTTCCTATAAGGTCATATAGCAGTTAAACTCCATGATTTTGCCTCTTAGTGCACATGCTTGAGCTCACTTGCCCAACTCTTGAGATCTTATCAAGAAGCTGCTGATCACCAGTATCGGATTTCTATCTACTGGGAGACTATCTTTGCCTGGCACTGGCTGTGACCAATTACTATTTTAGAAACACACTTAACAACCACCAGACCATCACCTGATGGTTGCCTGACATTCTTGGTTGGTATTGGAGGGGGTGGCTCTCCTGCCCTGCTCATGTCTGACTACCTACTGTAACATTCAAATGAAGAGATACTATCCTGTCTTTTCCCACTATCCTGGTCATTTGGAGGTTTCTGTCCTATGTGGAAGAAGGAGGGGATGCTACATTTTCATGTAGGTCAAAGAAAGAAGAACTCAGTAAAATCCAGCTTTAGCAATAAAATGCAGGAGCCAACTAAACCATCACATAAGCAGAGCCAAGTTTTGACTGCAATGTCAACCAGAGAGAGTAACTTTGCTGGAATGTCTAAGGGTTTCCAGTGGTCTGGTGGTGAGAGAGCCAAGTTAGGCCTAAATTTTGCCAGCTCTGATTTCTGTGTTTTGAATGCATTTCTTAGAAGTAGAATCTAATTATCTTATTTCCATGGACTATCTTCTATCAAATCACTGAAGTAACCTCTAGTTACATTTCGGTTCTAACATTTAATATAGCTGGCATCTAGGTAGCCAAAAGATTGTTTTACCGTATGTATTAGTCAATTTTCACACTGCTATAAAGAACTGCCTGAGACTCGGTAATTTATAAAGGAAAGAGGTTTAACTGACTTATAGTTCAGCATGGCCTCAGAGGCCTCAAGAAACTTATAATCATGGCAGAAGGTGAAGGGGAAGCAAGACACTTCTTCACAAGGTGGCAGGAAGGAGATGTGCCAAGGAAAGGGGAAAAGAGCCCCTTATAATGCCATCAGATCTCGTGAGAACTCACTCACTATCATGAGAACAGCATGGGGGAAACTGTCCCCATGATTCAATTACCTCCACCTGGTCTCTCCCTTGATGCATGGGGATTATGGAGATTACAATTCAAAATGAGATTTGGATGGGGACACAAAGCCTAACCATATCACCGTATATAAATATGTTTATTTATGAGGTTTATTAAGTGTTGTTTGGGTTTGAGAGTACTAGTCTCTCCAAACATCAACAAATTCTGTACCAGTTTAGAAATAAATAGAAGGGGCGGGGCACGGTGGCTGATGCCTGTAATCCTAGCACTTGGGAGGCTGAGGCAGGTGGATCACTCGGGGCCAGGAGTTCAAGACTGGACTGACCAATATGGTGAAACCCTGTCTCTACTAAAAATAAAAAAAATTAGCCAGGCATGGTGGTGCACCTGTACTCGCAGCTATTCGGGAGGTTGAGGTGGGAGAATCGCTTGAACTCAGGAGGTGGAGGTTACAGTGAGCTGAGATTGCGCCACTGCCACTGCATTCCAGCCTGGGCGACAGAGTGAGACCCTGTCTCAAAAAAAAAAAAAAAAAAAAGAAAGAAAAAACAAAAAAAGAAAGAAATAGAAGGGCTAACTATAGATAAAATAGTAGTATTGATTTGTATCTGATACAGCTAGATTAGAAAATCACTCTTGTACTTGAGACCACAATGGGTTTCTTCACATATGCAGGCACTGGAACTTACATATGTAGATAGTTGGGTTTGCAAAGCAGGCACATTCTTCATTAGTTGCCCCACCTCCAACTACACACAGAGCTCAAGAGGAAAGGCCACTTATGGTCAATAAGCATGAGCATATTGATGGTGGCCATTAGAAAAAAAAAAGTGTAAATCAATGTAAGTCAGTCTCCCACTATCAGACCAGTCATATAAATCACTCTTTCTACTAAAGAAAACATCAAGTGAGAAGCAAGAAAAAGGTTAATGGTTTCTTTGCAAAATCATCGTTTGAGTCTAAGTTCTTGTTTTATGAACTAAACAGAAGATGGAAAGGGGGAAAGGAGGGTTTCCCTTATAATCGTAAGAAGGTCAGTAACTTTCAGCAGATTACCCGAATTTATACCATGAACTGAATGTTATTTTTTAATTAACGATTATAAAATCTGCATCCTACTTAATAATTTTAATAGCACTGTTCTTTGTTTCTTTCCTCAGACTTTGTGGTAGATTCATTCCTTTATTTATTAACAGATACTAGGGATACAGTGGTATCTTTGAAGAAAGCAAGATATTTCAGGAAAGAAACAAGTGAGCAAAGAGCTTCAATATACTGTGGACAATGCTGCAGCAGAGGAGAAGGATGAGAAGTCTCCAGAGGTGGTGATACTTAAAAAGAAACTTGAGGCCGGGCACAGTGGCTCACCCCTGTAATTCCAGCACTTTAGGAGGCCAAGGTGGGCAGATCACCTGAGGTCAGGAGTTGGAGATCAACCTAGCCAACAATGTGAAACCCCTACTAAAAATACAAAAATTAGCCTGGCGTAGTGGCGGGCGCCTGTAGTCCCAGCTACTTGGGAGGCTGAGGCAGGAGAATGGCGTGAACCCGGGAGGCGGAGCTTGCAGTGAGCCGAGATCCCGCCACTGCACTCCAGCCTGGGCGACAGAGCAAGACTCCGTCTCAAAAAAAAAAAAAAAAAAAAAAGAGAGAAATGCTTCTGCAATCAAAACTAGGATTTTAAAAGGCTAGAGGTGGAATATAAAACAAAAAATTCTTAGCAAAAAGATAGACTATTTCAGTCAAATCTCCTTCACTTCCCTCTCATTTGCTTACTCAGTGCCAGGACATATTTTTATTCTGTCAAATCTCATGTAATATTTCAAATGAAACATTGGGTTCTGACACTTCAACATATATTCTACAATAAGATAAAATTTTCATAGTTAAGATCTCTTTTTTGCAGATTCTAAAATAAGAAGAATTGAAATAATAGAAGAGAAATGTATTCTTAAATATATAAATCCAGAAAATGGCCAATCTCTTAAGATTTTATGAATAGTCTACTTTCATGGACTATTATCAAGAATTATCTAAGAATTACTCAAAATTAAATTGCAATTATCTACATGACTGAAGATAAAGTCTTAAAATGCTGTATTTTTCTTCAGGGCATTAAAAATTAGCAACTGTATGTTCTCTGCATCTCTCTTGATTCATGTAGGCAATGTCATCAACTGCTATAGGGAAGCTATTCCCATGCATTAAATATTGCATTTCCCAAAGTAATAAAATTGTATGTCACAACTTTTTTTTTCCAGGTTAGGCAGATTTCATTTCTCAGATGATACTCCCAGGAGACCTCTCTTTTGGCAGCGCAAGAGAAGGATGAATTGACGTTTATCTAAATACCCAATAGTCTAAGAAATGGAAAATAAATAGATAAAGGCTATTACAATATAGAATTCTATCAAAGCTATGAATTCCTAATTAATAACTTTAAAGTTTCCTGAAGAAACTTTTGCCCTGAAAGAATAGATAGACCACTATTCCCTATCACAGCATATAGGCTTTTTTTTTTTTTTTTTTTTGAGATGATAGGATCTCACTCCCATCACCCAGGCTGGAGTGCAGCGGCACCATCAAAGTTCACTGTAGCCTCGACTGACCTCCAGGGCTCAGGTGAGTCTCCCACCTCAGCCTCCCATGTAGCTGGGACTACAGGTTCATGCCACCACACCCAGCTACTTTTGTTGTTGTGGTTAGAGATGGGATTTTATCATTCTGCCCAGGCTGGTCTCAAACTGCTGGGCTCAAGCTGTCCGCCAGCATCTGCTTCCCAAAGTGCTAGGATTACAAGTGTGAGCCACTGTGCCTGGTGGAGACCCAATTTACATAAATATGCTGTGTGTTGAAAATGAGCAAACAACTGAGTATTAAATCATAGGTTCAATATAAAGTAATGATTTGGGTGTCTCAAAACAATAACTTGCTAAAGAAGTTAATTTTGTGTTAAAATGTATACTATTTCATTAGGCATATGGAATGATAAGTTTATTTAACTAGGCTTTAATAAAAATAAAAATATACATAAATTTTTTAGGTAATAATAGATTTTTTTAGGTCATAATACCTAAAAAATATCAAATGGAATAAAGGAAATTAAATAAGAATTTTCTTCCTTCCATCCTGCCACCCAGTCTTCATCTTTTATGGCTTCCCCAATTTTCTCTTCCCCAACCCACCAAGAAGAAACGACTGTTATCAGTTGTTAGTGTTTTGTATATTCTATTCAAAAAATCCTTTAGATATACAAGTTTATATGTTATCTATCTATCAATAATCTTTTTAACACAAATATCCTATTCTACAGTCTAATTTTCTTTGCACTTAATATATCTTCAGTATCATTTCATATTAATGAAAAAAGAACTACATTTTGCTTTTTATATTGCAAGCTTGGTGTTCCTCCACCATATGAATGAGCCATAATTTTATTTTATTTGTATAGATTTAAAGGGTACAAGTGCAGTTTTGATACACAGATATATTGTGAAGTCTGGGCTTTTAGTGTAAACATTACCCAAATAGTGTACGTTGTACCCATTAGGTAATTTCCCATTTCTAACTACCCCTATATCCTCCCACATTTCTGAGTGTCCAGTGTCTATTTTTGCACTATCTGTGTCCACGTATACACATTATTTAGCTTCCGCTTATAAGTGAGAACATGCAGTATTTGACTTTCTGTTTCTGAGTTATTTTACCTAAGATAAAAATGAGCCATAATTTTAGAAATGGCTTTTTCTTAAATATTATACAAGTTTGGTTAGAAACTATGCTGGCTTTTAAAGGCTCAAGAGTAAAAAATTCCACCTGCTGTCAACTCAATCTCAATTCCATTGCATTTCTCTGAAGAATTTCATAAACAAAGGAAGAGTTCCCCCCAAAATGGAGGGGTCTCAGATACTCTGATCTGCCTCAGGGAGCTTTAAAATCTTGAGAAAACAGGCTCCCAAAACACTTAGATCCTTGACATGTAAAATGAAAAAGTCAGTAAAATTATTGATGGATATTTCTTCCATCTTAACAATCAGTACTTTCAAAATGTTTTATGTTGAACATGTATTAATTCAATACTTGGTCTTTATAAACTGCATAATAAAATAAAGAACTTTAAGAAGATTGTAAAGTCAGGGAAAATTTTTGGTCTGAGGATGTTCCTGCATTTGACGACTCACACGAGTCATAGATACCATCTATATAGGCCTCTGCCTATTGCTTAATAAAATGGGATTCTTGAGTCAGCAAGTAAATTCCTGAGATAGTCTATGGGAATTTCTTGTGTCCTTCTCAGATTCTTATTTTAAGACCATCAGCAGGAATTATTTACCATAATGGAACTTAGGGAGAGAATTCATTTCAAAAAATTTAGTCAGTTCCAAGCTTGTAATGTCATAAATCCACAAAGTTAGCACCTACTAAGAGAGCTGACAAAGCAATGTAAATAACAGAGTGTAGAGCCCCCACTCTTCTTAGCCACTTAATTCTCAGAAGCTCCACAAGCTGACATCCAAAGATTCAGGCTTCTCCAAGACATCTTGGTTTAAGACATAGCCCACTCTTCTAATTTAATAAAATTTAAATTGTTTGCTTAAATTTTTAAAGTCTTTATTTTTTAAAAATTCTGACCTCTTCACTACTCCCAAATTTAGATTCTTTGTGGGACTTTGTGTTTCTCAGACAATGCTTTTCTATTTGTTTTCCTCTTTACTCGTGTACTTTATCATTTAACAGCATTTTACTGAAAATATTACTGGAACTTGATAGTGTAGAATTATATTTTGAAGGGTTACAAATGGAGGAAAATAATGTAGTGTGTCTGCAAGCATACTTTATTTTGGTAGAAAAAAACCTACCTAATCAAATTCAGTGTAGCTAGTACCTGAAGTGTGTCACCTTCCCAATAACACAGCCTTCCTTGTACTCCATGTTGACCCAGGATATCATAAAGTTTCAGCCTGGGTTTCCTTCCCTTAGATGCCATTGCATGTCGACTCTACTCGAATGCTTCTCTGTCTTACAGTAAGGCCTACTGAATTCAAAGCCAGAGACCAGGGCCCTTTCCCAAATCTAGATCCTGCCTCCAGGACTTTCTGTCCACAGATCTGCTGTGTATAGGAAGTTCTCCTAATGTCCTGCACTTCAGAATTATCTGCAGTACTGCTTCACCCACTGGGCTAAACCTCCTGATATCAATATACATATTACATTTATGGGGGCTTGCTATGCCCATTAGGTACTATGCATTGGGCCACCCATTGGGACAGTCATCTGAGGCAGCTCTGTAGCAAAATGAGTTTGCCTTGGTCCTTCCCCACTTTAAAGATAATTCTTTGGCTGGAACTTGGTTACCCATTTCTTAACAGCTTGCATTGTTCCAGTTGTAGCATATTTCATTCCTGAATCTACCTGAGTTACCAAAATAATATTTGAGGAAATCCTTCATAACAACTAAGTCTTCCTTTTCTGGCCAGGTACTCATATCCTGGGCTGGCAGTATTACAGCTGATAAAGCCATGTTCTCAAGGAAGATATTCTCGATTCCCCAAAGACAGAACTGATTGCCTGTACTCTTTCTGTCATAATACCTTCTATTTACACAAATAAGCACTTTTCATATTATTTGTAATTGACTGTCAAAAATTGTGCCCTGCTCACCATTGTGGTGGTCGAGTGCCAAGCACATTGCCTGGCATGTAAAAGTGCTCTGTAAATATTTGCCAAATAAATAAATGAATGAAAGTTGGAGCTTAAGGAGAAAGAACAATCATAGAGAGGGATATGTGAGCAAGCAGAGAGCAATAGAGATGCAACATAATCACCACAGATAATTTCTCCTAAAGGGTGTTTGTGTTAGAAGTTAATCTGGCAGATAACCATGAGGAAACCTTGTATAAACTTGCCCATATATGGCAATATAATAAGTGGTAATGAGCGAAATGGATTCTGAACTAAAGAACAGGGTAATTTGTGAGAGAAAAATGTGTTATAAAGAACAGTTGGGGAAGGAATATAAATGCATTTTATCACGGATTGTTTCATAGGCACTAACATGCAAGATGGCAAAATGATATTAAAAGAATAGATAATCCTATGTGCCGTGTGTGTGTGTGTTTCTTTTTAAAGTAATGGCTTTAATGAAAACAACTATGATATAATGTTAGCTGGAAACCAGTGATGTAAAAATGCATACATGATACAAACAACACTACAGTTGCAAAAAAATGTGTGGGGTGAAAAAGAAGGGAAAGGTCTCAAAATAGCAACAGAATATGTGTTTGTTGAAAGAACTATGGGTGACGTATTATACTTTTTAGTATTTTCCAAAGTCTTATTTAATAAATGTATATTACTGTAATCATTTACAGTTTCTATCCTTTTTTACATAGATTAACTTATTGAACATAAAAATGTAGTTCCCATAGCAACTGGACAGGTTGCAAATCTGTTTCCTTGAGTAAATACAACATTAACCATTAACTCTTTCAAAACAATATGAATGAAACATCCTGAAATAGTTGTTAGTGCCAAAACCAATCATATCACCATGCCTTTAAGATGAGCACTAATTATTTTCAAAGAAAAATATTTTAATATTTTAAGATATATGAAGACAGAGGTTGGCGTTTTTCACTTCTCTATAACAAGTGTCTCCAGGAAGTATGAGTACCCAAACATGTTGAATAATGGTCCTTATCTATCCTTTTCCGTCTACAAATGCACAACCATGTATGCATATGCATAAACACATAACACAGACACACATGTGTCAAGGGTCATATATGAGTCCAGAGCTAGTTTTGAAACGGGAAAAGTATATAAATAAGGTTTAATTGGGCAAATAAACTATATAATCTCTATAAGCATACTCTGTATAGGGGTCAAATAGAAGATTAAACAATATATCTGTGGACATATTTATGTGTATATGTATGAAGTGTATACATATATGTACCCTTGCATTCAAGGATCTAAGTATATCATAAAATATATCAGATTAAATATTTCTTTACTTTTATTTTTTAAATGGTAGGGAAACTGAGATACTTGATACTAGCACAACTTCTACGGTTTAAATTGTATCCATCTTGCTTTTAATAATAGGGTTACAGAATTTTTAAAATCAAATTATAAGCATTTGTATGAATAAAATAGCTATTGTTTCTGGTCATAATATCGTAACTAAAATCACAGACAATATGACTTCAGGCAAATGCCAATTGAAAGATGGTTCAACTTACATTAACAGAATACTGACCTCTGGAAAAATTAGTAGAATATCAATTACTAGAACATACTCCTTTTAATTGTAAATATTCATTATGACCATCTTGTGCAAAAAATATATCTTGAATTATAATAGCTTCTGTAATGTATTTTCTGGCTTCAATAATTAAGTTTCAAACCCACAGAAATTAATTGGGTTTGATAAGAGAACTTCATAGAATATAAAATTTTCAAATATAGATGAAATAATGTAATGAGCTTAAAATGTACTTTAAGATGTATTTAGAAAATATATATATATCAGAATATCATAAGAAACCCATAGAAAAATTAGAATTTTGGCCAGGTGCGGTGGCTCACGCCTGTAACCCCAGCACTTTGGGAGGCTGAGGCAGATGGATCATGAGGTCAGAAGATCGAGATCACCCTGGCCAACATGGTGAAATCCCGTCTCTACTAAAAATACAAAAAAATTAGCTGGGGTGGTGGCACGTGCCTGTATTTCCAGCTACTTGGGAGGCTGAGGCAGGAGAATTGCTTGAACCTGGGAGGGGGAGGTTGCAGTGAGCCGAGATTGCACTCCAGCCTGGGTGACAGAGTGAGACTCTGTCTCAAAAAAAAAAAAAGAAAAAAAAGAAAAATTAGAATTTTGCTCTTCGTGTAGCTGATAAATATGATATGAATTTTATTAAATCACTTATAAAACATTTAGACAATTGACTAACAAATAACAAGTTAACATTAACATTGTAGTTTTTTCACATCATAGAATTTTGTTTCTTACTTATGTCACACTCTGATTCTGGTGTTAATCATCCCTGTGTAAGTGACTTTCCAATATATGGTGATTCAAGGACCTAGGGTTCTTTCCTTTTGTCGCTTCATCTCATAAGGTCTTGGAGCTCCTCCACATATATTTGACAAATGGGAGAAAAGAGCATAGGGAAGGTACATCTACATACTTTGTAAATACATTTGCCCAGAAGTGATACCGTGTATACCACTGCCACTCACATTCCACAAGCAACAACTAATCACACAACCCATTGTGTTGCAAGAGTAGTTTACAGTCCCAGGCTAGGAAGCCACTTCCCAGCAAAAACTCAATATTACAGAAGGAAAATGTAAATTTTGGTGGCTATATCATCATATCTACCTCCCTAACAATGATAATAACAATCTTTTATTAATATTTGCTTACTTTAAGAAAGATATTATATTATTTGATGTGCTTAATATATATAATTCAACAACTCTATGGGCTAAGAAATGTTCTTGTAACTATATTATACATGAGGAAATAGGCACAGGAAATGTTCCAGAATATTTTTTATGAAAGGACTTTCTTATGGTAGAAATTGAATCTCACTCTAATTTTTCATTAGAAATGATAATTTTCACTTACATATAATATCAAAAGGTAGTGTGTATTTAAATATAGATCACAGAATAAATATTTTATTTTAAAAAGTAATGTTGGATGTATCATGAAACAATAATTAATTTTCCTTTTTATAGTCAATCCTGCTTTTTTCATATATAAATTTGTTGATTAGTAAATGTTTTCAAATACTGCTTGTAACACAAACACTAAAAATTCAATTGCTGTATCATATGTTTCTATCATGTGAAGGGATAATTACCAAACCTAGTAAAAAGTCAATTTTCTTTATACACCAATACTTCTAATTTGAACAATTTTAACCCAAGGACTTTGATGATTTCTATCAGTCAGCTTCATATTTGAGCAAAGTAGGAACAAGTTTACTATTTACTTGATGAATTAGCAGCCTGCTTTTGGTCATTAAAAACACATTATTTTAGAATCACTAAAAATTTTCAAAATTGCTGAAGTTATAACTTGTACTGGAAGATGTTTAAGAGAACACACACATATTATTTTTCTTTTCCATTTGTACATATTATCATCTTTCATTCTTTTATTGGTCTTAACCAAATAATCAAATATCAAGGTTCCTAATACTTGTAATTCTACAGAGTTTTGAATTAATTAGGTTTGTTTTTGGTTACATTCAACAGAGAACACGACCTATAGGTGCTTAATCCAGTAGGTTACCCATTTTTCTCATATAAGGAGTTATCTGACTGCAGTGGTCCAGAATGGTGCAGCATATTCATGATGTTGTCAATTCCCCAGGCTCCTGTTTTTCTGCTCCCACCATCTTAAACATATAGTCTTTCATATTCATGGTTGCAAGCTTGATCCTGTGTTCTAGACAGAAAGCAGTAGAAAATGCAAATGGCAAAAGTGCTTTGTCTTAGCAAGTTTTACGTTTTTTAATTAAATGGCCTAGGCCTTCCTCCTGCATCCCACTGTCTAGTACTGGGTCACATAGCCACTTGTAGCTGCAAGGGGGTCTGTTTTTAGCTGGATACCTTATTGGCTCAAATGAAAACCAGAGTTCCCTAAGGAACAAAACATTACACTAGTAGTGTCCTATTTCAATTCTTGAGAACCACATCTAACATTTTGACAATTTCTTTTAAATTTTACTTTTAAAGTTAAGACAAAAGCATGCAGCCAAACTTTCCTGAGTGACAATAATTTATTCTCTTGACATCTTTCAGATATTCTCAAATATACTACAAAGTTGCCACTTAATATAGCATATGCTTTGCAAAAATAGGTTTATTGCCATTTTAAAACTTTCCTATAAAAGAAAACTCAGATAGGACTTTGATCCATTAAAAGTTCTGATCCAGTGAAAATTTAATTTTGATTTTTTGAATAAGTTATTATGTTAGTCTTGAAATGCATTTTATTGCTTTCAATCATATTTTCAAGTCTTATCAAAATGTTTTGCTGTGTTATTTTTGACTGTGTTTTGAATAACTTGTGATTGCTGACATACACTATGTGTCCAAATGCTCACAACATAGTAAATCAGTATTAAAATAGAAATAATAAATATTATCCTTTTATAATTACATTTTTATTTTGATATATTTTTAAACTGCTTTCTTTCTGCTTTATTTCAGGAAATAAGAATAAACAAGTCAGTCTTAAATTTTATAGAACCATTATGACTGTATTTTCAAAAGATGAAAGCATAAATTTTACTGTGAAAAGCTAGAAAACAATACTGGTTGAAGATGTAGCTGAAGCATATAAAGAAGATATAATTTAGGCTGGGAGTAGTGGCTCACACCTGTAATCCCAGCACTTTGGGAGGCCAAGGCAGGCAGATCACGAGGTAGGAGAGTGAGACCATCCTGGCTAACACAGTGAAACCCTGTCTCTACTAAAAATACAAAAAAATTAGTTGGGCATGGTGGTGGACGCCTGTAGTCCCAGCTACTCAGGAGGCTGAGGCAGGAGAAACACTTGAACCTGGAAGGCGGAGCTTGCAGTGAGCTGAGATTGCGCCACTGCACTCCAGCCTGGGTGACAGTCAAAAAAAAAAAAAAAAAGAAGAAGATATAATTTTGAGATCATCTCTGAGTTTAGAGATGATGCCAAAGCAGGCCTTATTATGGTGGTGAATTGAGAACTAACTATACACACAGGAGGGCCAGTCTAAGAACTCCTCACATGTGGTCAAGAAGTTGGTACTTTACCTCTCCCAACTCTGTTCTTTATTTAGTCTCCAAGTAGCTTTCCTTGAGCAAATACAAAATAAAGAAAATAAGAAAGCAGAATTTATTTGATCAATAAAAAGTAGTACTTCCTTTTTTGGTCTATACATTGAGCATTATTTCTGGCTTAAAAATATACAAATTGGTATTAACTCACTCCAGGTAAAACCTTAGGAAATATCAGTGTTATTATTTCTGATTTATGTTTGAATATTCTTTAAAAATGGGAAAAAACTATGTTTTCAGGCATTAGCATCCTGTCTTCAGATTTGATTCTTTGTGTCAGGCCTCTGAGCCCAAGCTAAGCCATCATATCCCCTGTGTCTCCACGTATACATCCAGATGGCCTGAAGCAACCGAAGATCCACAAAAGAAGTGAAAATAGCCTTAACTGATGACATTCCACCATGGTGATTTGTTTCTGCCCCACTCTAACTGATCAATGTACTTTGTAATCTCCCCCACCCTTAAGAAGGTTCTTTGTAATCTCCCCAACCCTTCAAAATGTACTATGTGAGATCCACCCCCTGCCCTCAAAACATTGCTCCTAATTCTACCACCTATCCCCAAACCTATAAGAACTAATGATAATCCCACCACCCTTTGCTGACTCTCTTTTCGGACTCAGCCCACCTGCACCCAGGTGAAATAAACAGCCCTGTTGCTCACACAAAGCCTGTTTGATGGTCTCTTCACTCAGACGTGCGTGACACTTTATAGATGCTCTCAGCCATTTTCACATATAAGTAATATTTGATATTTTTTATTACCTTGGATTAGAATACTACAGAACTAAGAGAGCATTTCAAACTTGCTCATTTTAGTAAATTTAAATTCTCCCTGGTTTAGACTCAACATCCATTACTGTAAACGGCTCTACATGTAGACCAAAATGAATACTTAGTCAATTCTCCTACATCTATTTACATGGACAACAATAGAAAGATACTAACATCATTTATTAAGCGTTTCTAATATGTCAAGCTCTATGTTAAGTACATGGATTATCTCATATAATCTTCACAGTAGTCCCATCTATTACCATTTTTCAGATTAAAAATCAAATACAAGAGAATTAAAACAACTTGATCAAGGCCACAGCATACAAGAGACACAGTTACAATTCAGGCACTAACAGAAAACCAATAAGGTTTACATCTAATACATCTAATTTAATAATAAAATTCACATGAAGTCCAGAGAGGTACATGACCAGAAATGTGGCTAATAATTTCTAAATCATTTCCATCCTGCTGATATATGAGCTACAGTGTGAAAGTTTTGCTTAATCTTAAAATGGAGCCGGGGAAAAAAACAAAAACAAAAACAAACCTAAAGGAAATGATTATGTTAGGGAGAAAAGTGCTTGGTTTTTGAACCATGAAGAAAAATGAGTTAATACTACTCTGAGTGATTTTACATTTGAATCAAACTTTACATTGACATTCCTGGATTCTAAGAAAAATCAGGGAAATATGTGTGATAAAAACTGTTCAGCAGGTATGAGTATACATTAGTATAGATCAATAGCTTTTCTTAATCATTTGACTTTGAGCATACTGTCTGGATTCTAAAGGCAGAATAGGATAAGAAGAGACAGAGTAGCATAAGGAGGATCTGTATCAAGTCTACAAGCTAAAGATAAGTTGTTTTATTTGATGATTCTCAGAAGACCAGATATTATCCTAGACAATTCTAAGACTAATCCTAAAATGTAAATAACATTTAGAAGTAGCCTGAGGTCCTATAATGTGTATGTGTGTGGTAAAGGTGTGGGCGGGGGTTGGAGGGCTGCTGGGAGAGGTAATGGAACAAGAGGTTGCCTCAGAATCCTCCATCTTAAGAAGCAGTTTAAGCTGTACTGAGGCAGCTTGCCTGCCAATAACTTTTGCTGCACACCTTAGCCTGGGGAAACATTTAATTTTGTAAGATTGGGGTTGTTTTCTCATGTTACTGAAAGAGAGAAAAAGTAAAAGGTTTGTGCCTTGGGGTTTGCCCAGACTAGGAACTGTGACATTAAGCTCAATCCCATCTTGACTTAACTGTCTCATTTCTGACACCTATTCCTCCAGATTGGGATTTACTGATCTGTGAATGTCATAACATAACCAGGAAACTACAAAACAGATTTAAAGAGAAAGATTAGATGCTGAGTTCACATTTTCTAGATACAGAAAGCGAAAGGGGGAGGCTGTCAAGGATGTATGCAGAAATATTTTCCTAACATGATTTTAAATGTTTGATTTTTTAATTTTTATTTTTAGGTAATTTGACAGGAAGTTAAAGAGAAGTAAAGCAACTGGAAAAAAATTATAGCAACAATTTCAAATGAAAAATTTTTGAGTTCTGCATTATAAATCACTGGGTTACTTTACTTGGAAATTCTGGTTTATAATGAGTTAAAGGATTAACTTATGAGGAATAATACAATTTATTTAAAATTGAGTTAATTTAATAAGTGAGCTCATTTAACAATTTTTCATAAAGTTCTCTTTATATGTTGCTTATAAGGTCAGAATAAGAAAGTTCAGTGATGGCTGTGCAGTCCAGTTTGGCAGCCATTAGCCATATGTATCATTTAAATTTGTATTTTAATTCAATAGAATTTAGGATGCAGTTCCTCAGTAGCATTAGCCACCTTTCAAGTGTTCAATAGTCACATGTGGCTAGTGACAATCTCATTGGAGAGCCAAAGAGAAAGATCACTTCCATGCTTGCTGAAAGTCCAATTGGACCGGAATAGTGAAACAGCATGGGCTCTAAATTTAGATAGACCTCAATTTAAAATCATTAGCTGAGGTTAATGACACAAGTTAATTTATCTGTGTTGCAATTTTAATGTTTAAGTCACAGGCAGCATTTTCTGCATCATGTCATTGTTGTTAGGATTAAATGTTGTGACAGTCTTAGCTCAGAATGTCCCCGTTTAGGAAGTTTGTATTGTGAGAAATTAAAAGGATGGGCTCTGGAATCAGGCCTGTGTCTGAATCCGAGTCTGCTCCTTAGCAGATATGTGATTTGGGCAAACTACTTAATTTTCTAAACACCAATTCTTTAGATTGAGATAACAATACCTACCACATAGAGACGTTGTAAGAATTGAAGAATTAACTGAGAAAATACAAGTAAAATACTTTACATAATGCATGGTACCTATTAAATAGTCACACGTTAAGTTCAAAATGTGAGTTACCTGTCATACTCAAGGCAAACTTGTATACCACAAAATAACTTCCATAAATTTCATAAACTAAAACATAGAAGGTATAAAATGCTGCCAAATATAGAAATAACAATAATAGTAATAATTATCACTGCTGCAATTATTAAAGAATAAGATATTCCAGTAACTCAATTCAGCCATTATTAAAATAGAGTCTTTTCATCAACATTTTACTGATCGTCACTGTTTTAAATAATGCTTTTTATCTCATTATTGTTATCTTGGTTCCTTCACTTAAGGGAGAATAAATTAACAAATATATGTTTAACTTATGTTAACACAAACGCAATGTTTATGTTAACATAAAGAATAGGATTTCTTTATTGTAATTTCATTTTAAGTGAATAACTATCCTTTGCCACATACCAAGGTATCTTGAGAGATAATAGCTTGTCTCCTTAGCACACCTCAATTTTGAAAGATGACATTCACTCTAGGTCCTATGACCACAAGAGTTAAATTTTAAAATGGTCCACAGATGGGATTATTTTATTTTTAAGCACTTCCATGTATGCACATATGCACATTAAATTTACTTCACAGAAAGGCCTTAAGTGTTTTAAAACTCTGTTTGGAAAAGCCTTGAAATTTGAAAAGGAAAGATTTCCAGGCATTGGTTGGTTTGTGGTTTTACCAACATGATTTTTATATGTGTAGATTCTTTAGAGATGGTATTTAAACTTTATACTCTATACTTTTACATTCTCCTTTTAATCTACAACTCTTTTATACTGTGTGCACTTTACTAATCACACTGAAATATGGGTGTGTGCATATGGCTTGGAGCAATGAAGTATTTAAAAGACATTTAAGGTAAAAAAATCTGTGTAGTAAAAAAATGTAATGCTTATATGGTTTATGCAGAAAGAATATTTAAAATGGAAAATAAAGACTACTTTAAAATATAGACGAGTCTCACCAAAAAATTTGTGCAAGGCATTTGGTAAAGCATAGGTATAATTGTTAAAAATACTATGTTTTCATTTAAGGTTAGTACGCTTTTCAGAAAAGAGGAAAACATCTGTATTGTTAGCAATTCAAAATTACAGTTTCTAGGTTGACTAGCACGGAACTGAATACTATAGTGAGTTGTCCTGGCTTAAAATGTCAGTAACAGCGATGTTTAATGCCCTCAAGGAACAGTAGGAATATAACTGTTGTAGTAAAAACCACTTAAAGTTTTCCAGGGCTATTATATTCATGCTATCATATGTGCTACTAATTAGATAAATTTTATCTTTTTCCAGTCTTTTACCAGTTTATGAATTTCATGTCATCTTTGAGTATAAAAAAGTGTACATTTTAACAAGTATTTATGCTCATTGTTCCCAAAAAATACTTTAAAAATCCTACTCTTATGACTTTGTTGATTTTGGGGAAAAATGAAGTACTCTTCTTTTTTAAAATTCTTTTGCATAGACGGGGTCTCACTCTGTTGGCCAGGCTGGTCTGGAACTCCTGGCCTCAAGCAAACCTCCTGTCTCAGCCTCTAAAAGTGCTGAGATTTATCAGCGTGAGTCCCAGTGCCCAGCCTGAAACACTTAAAAGGCAAAAGAGACATGCTTCATAAAATGTTATTTCTTGGCTCCCTTTTCAAAAAATATATGGAAAAACTGAAAGAATATAAAATACATAAGAAAGTATTTATCACTCATAGATTAAATGTACATAGGAAAAATAAAGAAATAAATGAAGCAATTAATGGAACTATCTCTTGAACATCATTTGTGTCCAAATTCCTGGTGTTAAACACTGTAGTCTACACAATGATAAATAAGAAAGAATCCTGGATTGCAAGAAAATAGTCCAGAAAAGGAAATAAGCCATGAACTCAAGCTACTATATGGTGAAAAGTTTTGTAGTGTTTCATTTGAGGGAGCTATGTCTGTCTGAAAGAATCAGAAAAGACCATGGAGGAAGTAGAATTTGTGCTTGAAGGACAGGAATCCATAGGGAAGAAGTTGTACAGAGAAAGTCCTAGAAGTGGTAAATGCAAGGCATGTATTGAGCACACAAAATATTTCAGTTTGATTGGAATATAATCTGTAAAAAGAGAATGTTTAGAAATAATTGGGTAAACGTTCATCGAATCAAGATCATAGAGAACCTAAATGCCAGATACTGTATTGAATAGACACACAGTTGGTACCCTAAAATCGTTTTGATGATAGGAGCAACAAGAACATTATTTTTGGAAGACAAAAAGAAAGATTGATACAAGAAGAGATTATATGTGGAATCCAGGTGGGTGATTTTGTAATAGCGCAGGGACAGGATGGGGAGCACCTCCCTGCACCAGGGAAGAGCAGTAATGGCATTGAGAAAGTTTATAGGACGATATGCTCTAGAGGCAGAATCCATGGCACCTGGCAAACAATCAGGGGTGATACCAAGAGAGAAAGACAGAAGCCAAGTAAATCTGAAAATTTGGGACTGGCGTTTGGGAGATGATGCTAATGCTATCAGAACTGGAGAAATCAGAAATGTAAGAATTTTGGGGGTGGACTGGTAAGTTGAAATGATGAGTAATTTTTACTTATACTTTTAAGAAATACTGATTGATATTCTATTATGTGCCAGAAGCTATGCTAAATGCTGGGGATGAAATGCTGAGTGCAAACAGATTACAGTTCATTGAGGAAGACACCTTTGATGCTTGACAATACAAAGAAACATAAACATGAAAGTAACAAATGTGACAAGCACTTGAGACCAGAGAAAAAGTGCTTCTAGTGCTTCTAGGGAGATTGTTTCACCCACTAAAATGACTCTTAAACTGAAATCTGAAGAGTAAGCAGAGGGAGTCAAATAGAAGAAGACGGCAGCAAAAGGCCTTCTAAAACAGAGGTCATGTGTATGCTGCTACAACCATGACAGGGCCAGGCGTGGTAGCTCAGGCCTGTAATCCCAGCACTTTGAGAGGCCGAGGCAGGTGGATCACTTGAGGCCAGGAGTTCAAGACCAGCCTGGCAAACATTGTGAAACCCTGGGCATGGTTGGCGCACGCCTGTAATTCCAGTTACTCGGGAGGCTGAGGCATGAGAATAGTTTGAATCTGGGAGGCGGAGGTTGCAGTGCGCCGAGATTGCATGACTGCACTCCAGCCTGGGTGGCAGAGCCAGACTCTGCCTCAAAAACAAACAAACAAACAAACAAACAACAGCAACAACAACAACAAACCCACTACAGAATCTGATGGAGAGGAGAAAGAAGATGGTTGTCTAAGACGTGGAAAGATGGCCATGTTGCTGGAGCAGAGAGCAAGGGGAGAGAAGGTGCAATCCCAGAAAAGAGGGGAAAGAAAGCTAAATCATGTACAGCCTTATAGTTTGTGTTAAGCTAGGAGCAAGAGGATGACACTGAAAATTTTTAAGCATGAAAGTACCATAATCAGAAGACAAAGTGGTAATATAGACTGTGTGGTAGTGAGAAACAGGGGAGAAGTGAACCTGTTTAAGAATATTTCAGAGGAAAAAGGGTAGGGTTTTACGATATGATATGCATTAGAGAGAAGTAAGGGCCAGGGTAATTTCTATGTTTTTGTATTACCCAATGGGATAAATGGTATTAGCATCAGTGGAAAAGCTCCACATAAAAAGAGGAAACTGTCAGCTGAGTTTTAGACATACACAATTTAAGCCAATAAGAGAATTTGCAATTTCCAAGTAGATATACCCATAGCTATTAAAAATGAAGAATAGCTATTTCTGAGGTTGGGGAAAGGTGGAGATAAAGACCTGAAAGTCGTTGGCACAGAAGTGGTAGTTGAAGCCATTAGAGCAAATGAAATCCTAAAGCAGAATACAGAATGAGATGAGGGAGACCAAAGACAGAACTTTAAGAAATATCCAACATAAGAAAATAGAAGGAAGACATTCCCAAAAGATTGGCAGGGAAGAAACAATCACAGAGGTTGGGAGTAGAATAAACTGAATAATAAAGTTCTATGCAGTTTCATGAAGACCTAATTACCCATATTGTTCATGTATAATCCCTTTTATATATTTAATGATATGAACAGCATCAAGATGTACAAACATTGACTTTGGTTGTCTAGACTCCCTCCCTTCAAAACTTCAACACACACACACACACACACACACACAGACACACACACACACACACACGCACCTGTTCTCCTGCTGTGTTAGGTAAGTATGAGGTAAATGGTTATGAAAGTACTCTTTATTATCCTCAATAATAGGTCTGTATTTAGATAAACAGATTCTTGATATATTCTATTAAGATCTATGAAAAATAGAAACAAGAGAAAAATTATCTCTAGCATCAAGTGTCAAGAAATTACAGCTATTATTTGTCTGCATTTAACTTATTGAGATATTGTGGCATGCAGCCAGGTTAACTCAACAATAGACAGTATCAGCAATGTAACAACAAAGTCACTGGGCTTACATGAAAACTATAAAAGGATATTTGCTGTATTGTTCTTGCCCTTGGAATGCTCCTTCCTTCCCTTCCTGTTTTGTTGCTGCAATAGGATGTCAGCTCAAATTTACTGTCATTATTGTCATTTGGCCAATGAATATTATGAAATGTGGTAGGCACTTAACGAACATGCAGTCTGAAGTCTGACTCCTTTAAAGAGTTTATCGGATTGGCTGAATGTTCTTGGAATATGAATGTGACAATAAGGCTTGTCTCTTCCCCCATGTGAAGTGAACCCTTCAGAATGGCTTTGTATCTCAAATAAAAGTTATGGCCTTTAAGAAATACAATTTACTTTCTCAGAAGTTTTCAACATTAGTCCACAGCCTAAGGTAGCATCCAGAAATTCTGTAAGAATTTCCCTAAAAACAACAAAAATCTATCTTCATGAGAAACAAGCCTAAGACAGAGTTTCTTAACCTCTGCCCTACTGACATTTTAGACAGGGTCATTCCTTGTTGTGGGGGTTTGTCCTGTGCACTGCAGGACATTTAGCAACACCCCTGGCCCCTATCTTCTAGATTCTAACAGTACCCTAACTCCTACAAGAAGCGATAATCAAAAATGTCTTTAGACATTGCCAAACGTTCCCTTGGGGGCAAAATCACTGCAGGCTGAGAAGCACTGGCAAGAGAAGTATCTTAATGGAAAGCAAAAATGAGTAGAATTTGTAAAATATATACGGTATAATCACAATTTAATTTTCCCTTTTCACTTTCTATCATTATATGGTATCATTGTACCTAAAGAATAAAGGCAAGCCTTTGAATAGTAAAATCACCTACTAATAGTAACAATTTTCGAATCTTTCTTATCATAATGAAATATTAGGTAAGCTCTCTGAGATGGTGTTTGCATTTTTTCTGTTTTGGATTTTACATACTAGTTTTATTCATTCATTTATCCACTCATTCATTCAATAAGTATTTCCCTTTATGCTCCAGGCAATAGGTGTTGGAAACAAAATAATGATTGAGATAAGCAAGGTTGCTGCTGCTCCAGTGGAGTTTAAATTCTAATAAACAAAAGCACAGTACACAAATAAGATTCAGCTAAGCAGAGGATCAATACAGTTTGATGTTATTGAACAAGGATTGGCAAACTATGCTGGCTTGTTTTTGCAAATAAAGTTTTATCAGAACACAGCAACACATTTACTTATATATTGTCTATGAATGCTTTTCTGCTGCAACACCAAGGTCAATTAGCTGTGATAGAGAACATATGGCCTGCAAAGCCTAAAAATATTTGCTATCTAGTACTTGCAGGAAAAGTTTCCAGACTCCTGTAATAGAGTGAGATTGGGTGGCCATTTTTGATTAATTGGAAAACAACATTTTGCAAAGATGATAGCTACCAGACATTTAAACTGATAGCTACTAGAAAGAATCAGGCCTGAGAAGAAGAGAAAGGGAAGAGCAGGAAAAGGAGAGGCTGGAAAGAAACCCCTAAGGCAAGAATGAGCTAATGTGGTTGAGAAATAGGAATGGTCAAGAGATGAGGTAGGAAAGATAATGTGTCCCAGACCATGCAGGGCTTTGTAGGTAATGCTAGAGATGAAGATCTTTACTCTAAGTGAGATAGGAAGCTGAGTGGGATTTGAAAGTTTTGTGTGTTGTGACCTAAGTTACGTTTTAACTGGAATATTCTGGCTGTTCTGCTGAGAATAGAATATAGGAAGGCAGGAGAGATAATTTAGGAGGTTAATAGTAAACAGACAATAATTTCTTGAGCTGGACTATTAGTGAAGACGGAGAGAGGGAATGAGTTTGGGTTAAGTTTTAGAAGTAGAATTTACATGACTTGTCAGTAAGGTAGAAATGAAAGGTAAAGAAAGAAACAGAATCAAGAGTAACCCCTAGATTTTCGAAATAAATATGTGCAGGAGGAAATGGGCTTGAGGGTTTATAATATCAGAAGTTCTGTTTTGGGTTTATTAAATATTCATGTAGAAATATCAAGTAGATATAGAGATATAAGATTCTGGAGTGGCAGGGAGAAGTCAGAGTTGAAATTAAATATTCGGATGGTATTTAAGGCCATGAGAGAGAATGCGGTCATTTAAAGAGATGTTGCAGGTGGAGAAGAGCAGACCAGAGGACTAGTCCGTTCCCCACTGAGAAATTAACTACGAGAGGAGGATGCAGCAGAAGACAACAAGAAGTGGTGTCTGGTGAGAAAGAAATAAAACTAGGCAAGTGTGTTGTCCTGGAATTGTCATTCGATGAATAGAATACCCCATTGTCTTTCCAGATAAACTATTTATGTTCCTACTTTACAAGAAACTGAGAGTTAATGAGATTGGGTGGCTGGTCAAAACTAGTAATCAGCGGAGTGAGGACTAAACTCAGATCTTATTCATCTTACATACAGAGCTCTTGTGGCCATGAAATACCTGAGGTGGACGCTTGGTTTTTGTCTAGTTAGCACCTCTTTGAAGAACTATCTCCTCACTTGATCCTCATTCCGTGTGGGTGGAATGAAACCCCCTAATCAGACCTTCGATCTTATGGCTCCAGTAACTGTTTGGGGCATCAATTAATGATACAAGCCAGGCTAATCAATTTTTCTTTATTTTTTTTTTTGAGACAGAGTCTCACTCTGTCCCCCAGGCTGGAGTGCAGTGGCGCGATCTCGGCTCACTGCAAGCTCCGCCCACCGCGTCACGCCATTCTCCTGCCTCAGCCTGCCGAGTAGCTGGGACTACAGGCGCCCGCCGCCACGCCCGGCTGATTTTTTGTATTTTTAGTAGAGACGAGGTTTCACCGTGTTAGCCAGGATGGGCTCCATCTCCTCAACTCGTGATCCGCCCCCCCTCGACCTTCCAAAGTGCTGGGATTACAGGCGTGAGCCACCGCGCCCCGCCAAGAATTTCTTTAAACTGTGGAGTAGGGGACTACTTTCACAGGGATAATAAGCTGTGACAATGATGAACGCCTTGAACTGCCAGTGTCCAACTTGCTACCAACTGGGGGGAGGATACTGCTTACAAATAGGACCAATGCTGAAACAACATAATAGTTGTGTGAGCATCTGGAAACTCAGTTGGGCCTGGGGATAAAAGCACAACTCCCCCAGACCCGGCTCCTTCCTTCATTTTACTTAAACTGGTTTGAATTGAGTTTTTACCATTTGAACTACCAGAATTTCTAGTACAACACTTTGACTTGTTTATCTGTGTATACCAGCGTATCTCCATCCGCACATAAAAGATGCTTAATAAATATTTATTAAATAAAATGGAAAATGAATATTTAATAATAACATACCTTGATTTAAAATTAAATCATTAGTTTAGCTATTTAATTTTCAAAGGATTTTAAAGGCTTTTCCTCCCATTACTAGACAAAGATGTTCAGTTTTCTGAGAAAACATAGTTTCAACCAAAATTGTTGATCTTTTCAAAATGTCAACATTGACAAGTAAATAATTTAGCCATTTTTTAAAAATTTAAGGTCACTCTCTTCTTTTTTCTCTCCCCTTTATTTTCATAGTTTGGTGAATGGACAAAGAAGAATTTTAGGACAACATTCATCTAATGGTTTCAGTTGCCTTTCTCTCTCTAGTCTTTAAAGTATATTATCCCATTTACCTTTTTTCCTACGTTTGTTCCCCCTTGGGTTCTGACTTGACAAATTGGTCTTCAGCCTAAGTGTTTATAAAATTCCTTTTGTATCTCTAAGTTGCAAATACACCTTTAAGCTTATGAAAAATAAGTTAGTATGACTACTGGTATAATGTGTTGCCATTTTATTATAATTTTTTTCCTTTTGAAAATTGTGAGTGAAGATTATTAGAAATATGAGTCTTCCATTGTGTGGGGGAGGAAATAGAATTTTCAATTATTCCTCATTTTAATGGAATCAGAATGAAAAATCTGACTTCTCTATCTAACTGTAAATGTAGTAGCAATAATCTTGCTGCTAATTTTTCCTTTCTGAAATTACTGACACTGCTACCATTTTTATTACCAGAAGGAAAGTAATCCACTGTTTTCTGGAACTACCTTAAAGAAAAAAGTAATGAAATTTTAGCACTCTCTGGAATTTTTAAAGTGTCCACTTCTAGGGCCTATAAATATTCTGATTCTACCTACCACAGTCTCCACACCTGTAATGTCTTAAATCAGAAACTGTAACAAATCTGGTTTGTGGCTGTGAACAGAGTGGGCTCCACTGAAATACACGACCACCAACCTTTACAGTTAACTTTAGTCACTGCATAATTCATTTTTAATACTGCTGTATCTTTTCTGCTTTATCAAAAGTTATGATTTCAAGTTCTATTTGTACCTTTTCTGGCTTAGTCTGAACCAGCTTTTTTTTTTTTAATGTGTCAGGTTATTAATCAAATTTATACTGTTGTAAAAGTTTCCATTACTCTCAGCATCTCTTCCTGCCCCCGCAATTTTTCACTATTTGGATCAAGGTAGCATTTACCGAGTACTTATTTTCACACATTGTGCTTTGATTATTATATTTAATTCTTTTTCTATTTTTAATGTAGATTTTATGATACAAGCATCACTGAGGCCTCTGAGATAAATTCCACCCAGTTGAGTTCATTTCAGACTTCAAGTAAACATTTTTGTTTCCACAGTGATAAGCTTCTTTATTTAGTTAAGAATTACATATTAGAATCTGCTATGTATGAAAGGACACACATCTAAATTATATAAGCGTAAGAATATTTTCATCAAATACTGATTCAGCATGTCTCTTCAGTTATATGTTGTATATGAGTTTATTATAAAATGACTTCTCTTGAATTTCTTTCTTATTGAAGCTTAACCTTTATGACATCGCCAAAAAATGTTGAGCCATTCTTCATAAGCTTATCCATTTCAGGCATTAGCTAAATGTCATTTGGTGGCTTCTGTTACATGAATGTTGAATCAGTAAGAGAAATTATCTGAAGTGGATTTGAAGACTCTTCCTTTGATTCTAGTGAAGAGATCCTTTAAGGTAGACTTGACAAACTTTCTTGGATTTGTGTCTGCTACTATGGTAAATGGTCCTATTGATCACTAGAGTTTGTGTGTGTGTGTGTGTGTGTATGTGTGTATATATATGTGTGTGCATGTTTTAACTGATGGATTATGAGAAAGTTATAATTAATAACGTTATTTAGGCAATCAAAAAGATGGGCAAAAAAATTAACTAAGTAGTATTTTTGGATGAAATGGACTCGAGCTTAAACAAAACAATGACCTGACAGACCACATCGGTGGTAGAAAAGGCTGTCTTAGGCCGGGCGCGGTGGCTCACGCCTGTAATCCCAGCACTTTGGGAGGCTGAGGCGGGCGGATCACGAGGTCAGGAGATCGAGACCATCCCGGCTAAAACTGTGAAACCCCGTCTCTACTAAAAAAAATACAAAAAATTAGCCAAGCGTAGTGGCGGGCGCCTGTAGTCCCAGCTACTTGGGAGGCTGAGGCAGGAGAATGGCGTGACCCGGGAGGCGGAGCTTGCAGTGAGCCGAGATCCCGCCACTGCACTCCAGCCTGGGCGACAGAGCGAGACTCCGTCTCAAAAAAAAAAAAAAAAAAAAAGAAAAGGCTGTCTTAATAAATTTATTATGTGTAAAATGAACAAGTCTAAATATGCTTGGTAATGAGACAGTGTCTGCAAGAGTATTCATACATGAACATTATATTTTAAGAGAGAAATACCAGAAAGTGAAGAAATAGCAAATAATTTGAAGACCAGTTTAAAAAACTTAGACTATTTATCCTAAATAATAGAAGGTACAGGAAACTTTATGTTGTCTTGTTAATATACTGTAAAGACTTTTCTACCAAAACGCACATTGCATTTCTCTTTATGGCCCCAATTGGGAGAATTGAGGTCACTGAGACATGTCTAAGTACATAGATTTTGGCTGCTTGCAAGGAACAGCTTTCTTCCCATAAAGAGAAGTACCTAAGTGGGAACAGAATACTCTCTTTGTGTTTAAGCAAAGGTTGTTATATCACAAAGCGGGGTTGTATTTGGAATTGAAGCATTGAATCTTCCTAACCCAGAGATTTTGCTCTATCCTAAGCTATTTCCCCATCTATCAAACCAATGATTATTTAACCAGATATTGTTAGGAATTGTGATATAACCCCAATTCTATTCCCCTTCTTGACTTCCCTATGTTTTTTTAAGTAAGATATGTATGTTATATACATATCTTTGATAAAAGTATATATCTATATCTACATATATTTATAAATAAATGTTCTTTTTTACTTCTTTTCTAAATCATATTTAATGAAAATCAAAGTCGTGATCCTTTTTCTTTAAAACGTATGTCTAATATTCATTATTTTTAACTTCTTTTCATTGCTGGAGCTGCCACATTTTCCCAGATCCTAATCTGCTCAAACCCAAACCAGGTAGATAGCCTGCTAACAAGAGCCCTTGCTACCAGTATCCTCATTTCTATATTTTCTTAGATACTCTACCATACCAATAATACATCCCTTAAATAATAATTTTATTTTACCTTTTACCTCTTTCCCTTTTTAAAAATTCCTTTGACTACAGAATTGGTACAAACTCCCAATTAAAAAATTCAAAAATTCCCATAACTTAATTTTTATTATGTATTGAATTTTGTCATTCTCACTGTGACCTTTCTGGTATGGGGGCTGATACCGTTCTTTCCTAGGGACGTCGAGACTTGATTATTTGTGTTGCACTTCATCCCCCAATTTTAACTCCCATCTCTGAACTTCAATTTCCTTCACTCAATATCCTGGAAGGTCTAGCATACTTTCTCTCTGGTGTACTTCCTTACCTCTCTTGCCCAAGTTAAACATCCATTTTTGTCTTAGTTTATAGTAAGCACTGTAGTTACATATTTATGTACATATGTGTTGAATAAGCTGGTAGCACTCCATTTACAGTGTGTTTGAAGAAGCTCCAGATTTATAATATATCCCTGTTAATTTTTTTTTTACAAATAATATGGTTTAATTGTGCATATGTAATAACAATTCTACAATAACACTTACTTCCTACAACATTAGACCCTGAGAAAACATGTGGCAATTCTCTGTGAATTTGGAAAGGAAGCATTCACCTATGAAAGAAAATGCTTCCATCAGGTACTTCAAGGTTGAAGAGGCAGAGGACGAGTTATCCACAAGGAATTTGGAAGAGAAGCTTGTTTCAAAGTTGGATGAGCCATGGTAAAATCTCAAACAGTTTGTTATTTTTAGCTCTGCCAAGAAATAGCTAATTTCATGCAAGAATTATCTTGTATCTGACCCAGAGCAAAGACTCCCTGGCTATTCTTTGTATATGTTGATGCAATGGGAGGATTGTTTCATGCTTTAAAAACCAAGTAAGGAAGAACTTGAGAAAAAGAAAAGAGAGTTGTAGGGTAGGTAGGTAAACAATTTTGCTTTTCTTTTTGGCAGACTTATTTGTAACTGAAAAAGAAAAGACTGTCGAGATATTTGGTAACCAGGAAGAAATGAAGTGGCTATTTTCCCCCCAAATTTTTATAAACCTCTTTTTCTAAGTCAGGTTCCTTTAGGAAACTGACTAACTAGGTAGTTAGGTCTTTCTTTCTCTGCTGTTGACATTCAACACAAACAATTCCGTCATTTATCCTTTATGTATATATATATTTTAAAAATCAATGTTTGCAATTTTGATTGCCTTCTTCACAATATTCTTGAGACTTGTGAGAATAAGATGAAGCATTAAAAATAGGTCATTTAGAGAGCAGGCATAGGGAATGAAGAAGTGTAGGAAATCAACTGTTTCATCACCCCAGTCCCTTTCCCAAGACTGCCTTCTAAAATGCTGCCTTTTATTTTCAAATTCATTTTTCTTTATATTCAGTTCACCTTAGGTAGTAAGAAAGGCTTTGATCTATATTTTATTGGTATTACTCATATGAATACTCCTTTGTATTATATAGAGGGTATAAGCTACACATATCTCCTGACCTCACCCTGCCTCTTGTCCTTGCCTGCTGGTCATGAAATTATATTTAAAATGTACATCTGTTTATTCCTTAATACCAAAGATTAAATAGCAACATGAAGCCTCCTTCATTTTCTCTTTTTCTGTTGGAGATTGAGGTTTTCTTGTAATCAGCAAGCAAAATAAAAACAAAAACAAGACATGACAGAAAAAAAAAAACCAGTATGTAAGTAGACGAAATGACTTCCTGTTGGGGAGGTGTTTGACTGCGTGGGGGTGCACATAATCAAAATCATCAATCCTACCCAAGCATGACACTGGCATAAAACACTACCAAATGATGACATCCTGTTATTCCTGCATAAAAGGTAACTATTTGGGAAAAAATAACATATTAAGCTCATATAACTGTCAGTGTGAGAAAATTTGTCATAATTTTTCAGCAGTCAGTTGGAGGAAAGAAGACTGAGAGAGAACAGGAACTTGCCTGGAAAAAAAACATAACACAATCTGAGTACAATGTGTACAGTGTGGGTGAGCTCTGACATTAAAGAGCATAGAGTCATAGAAACTTGAAATTGGTTAAGTAAAGAAGGCCTGGTCAGATGGGCTTGGTCAGATTTGTATTTCTAAAGATAGAAAAGGTACAGTAAAAATATGGTACTATAATTTCATGGGACCACAGTCATATATGTGGTATGTCACTGACTGAAATGTTGTTCTGGGGTGCATGACTGTATATCTGTGTATTGCTCTTTTTATAGCAGAGGTCTCCTTTTTTCCATTCTCATCGGGTGACATGCCCTTTAATCTCTTCCTTTTAAAATTATCTCTCAACATATACACTCTTTAAATTTCTCATTCCAAGATTTTGCTCTCTTCTTTCCCCACATAACCTGCATTTTTGTACAGGTACTATTTAAATTCTCTTATCCACGTTTCTCATGTTTCTCTTCTCATCTCCAGTTGTTATAGCCTATGAATGTTTTGCAAAAAAAAAATTATTTTTTGAGTCAGGGTTTCACTTTATCACCCAGGCTGGAGTCCGTCCACTGGCAGCATCCTAGCTCACTGCAGCCTCGAACTCCTGTGCTCAAGGGATCCTCCAGCCTCAGTCCCCCAAGTAGGTGGGTCTACAGGTGAGCGTCATCATGCCCAGATATTTTTGTATTTTTTGTAAAGGTGAGGTCTCACTATGTTGCCCAGGCTGGTCTCAAACTCTTGGCTTCAAGGGATCCTCTTGCCTCAGCCTCTCAGAGTGCTGGGACTATAGTCATGAGCCACTCCGCTTGGCCTGCAATTTTTAAAATAAATTGGAGCTCTTTCCTGTATTGAAACTGTTGCTCACTCCATAGGAACATGGAAATCTCAACTTTTTTTTTTGTGATTATCTATTTTGTCCTTTGTTTGTCTATAATATCTTTTTCTTCTGTTATTCTCTGAATGTTGTTCCTCAGGGTTCAATTATCATCTCAGTGCTCTTTTTATCCTATGTAATCTCCTTTTATGGTTTAATAACTCTCAGGTATTACTCAATTGTCAGTGTTGCCAAACGTGATCATTTATATTCGATCATCTAATAAACATCTGCTTATTCCATAGATGTCTTAAATTTTCCATTTTCAAAATTAAGTTCATTCTTTCTTTCCCTGAAATAGATTGTTCTATAATATTCTCTATGCCAGTTGTTGAGGCTTTCACCCAGTAATTAAAACTAGCACACTGGCAGTTATTCTTGACTCCTCCATCTTTTGCACAGCTCATATTTCTGTAATTATCAAAGACCACTAAATTAACTAATCAGTGGTTCTCAGCCTCCCTTGCTAACTAGAATCACCTGGAGATCTTTAAAAATATTAGATCAATTAAAACAGAATCTCTGGGAGTAAGGCCCTAGAATTTGTTTTTCTAATGTGCAGAGAGGAATGGAAACCACTTTTCTCAGATGTCACTTATTTTTTACCTCTGCCCCATTTCAGGTCCTCATCGTCACTTAATGGGTATCTCCTATATATGGCCACTCTGCCTTCAGTCCTACCCCCTCCGATCCATTATCAACCCGGCCATTAGGGTAAACATTCTCAAATAGAAATGTTACAAAATCATCTCCCTTGCCTCTTCTGTTTCTATTATATACACTCTCCCCTGGCTTAGAATCCTTCAGTATCTTCCCTTGAAAAAAAAAATCAAATCCTAGCTCTTTAATTGGGCACATGAAGCCATATTTTAACTTATGCATCACTTGCCACTTTTTGCCTTTTGTTTACTGTTCTCTGCTTCCCACAAAATGGACTTTTTTCCTATTCTCTCTTCTTTTTTTTTTTTGAGACACAGTTTCACTCTTGTCATCCAGGCTGGAGTGCAATGGTGTGATCTCGGCTCACTGCAACCTTCACCCCCCGAGTTCAAGTGATACTCCTGCCTCAGCCTCCCGAATAGCTGGGATTACAGGTACCCACCATCACACCCAGCTAATTTTTGTATTTTTAGTAGAGACGGGGTCTTGCCATGTTGGCCAGGCTGGTCTTGAACTCCTGACCTCAGGTGATCCACCCACCTCAGTCTCCCAAAGTGCTGGGATTACAGGCGTGAGCCACCACACCTGGCCTCTTATTCTCTCTTCATACTCAGCTTTCTTTCTTTTATGGCTTTGTTCATGAGCTCTCCTCTGACTAGAATGATCCTCCTGTGATTAACTATTAATCCTATTTATCGTATATGTCTTGGTTTAGTAATTACTTTCTCCAAGCTGGGTTGAGTGCCTTTCCTCAGTTCTCATAATGACCTCTGCCTATAGAAATTACTGCTTTTACCACTTGAGTTTATAATAATCTCTTTATGTTCCTTTCTCTTTGGAAACAATGACTGGTTCATAATCATCTTTGTACATCCTGATGTCCAGCATAATGCTTGGAATATATTAGGTACTTTAAAAAAGGCACATTAAATAGATGAGTGAATAAGAAATCAGAAATTTTAGCTGATAACATAAAGATAGGTGCCTAATAAGTTTTGTCCCCTAAAACAAACAAGATAATTAAAATAGAAAAAGATCATTTCCTTTATACTGAGAATAGGAACTTGAAAACCAATAGGGAAGACTTTCTGTAGATTTGCAATATATTAGATCTCTACTGGCATTGTTAGAGTTACTTCTGTAGGTCATTTTCTTCTGATTTCTATATTTGTTTTGGATCTTAATATGCCTTCTTGAGTAGAAAAATGAACATATAACTGGTCTATGTTAATTTTATTCTGATTAGCAGTTACTTTTCATGTAATTACATGGTTTTTACACTATAACATAATCCATGAATTTAGGTTTATTACCTACACCTTTTAGGGTTCAATCACCCTGGATAAATTTGCCAATTTCCTCATCTGGCAAACTGAGTGGTGTGATCAGTACCAAGATCCCCTTCAGCCTTAAAATTTCTGAATTTATATTGTTAATTAAAAAATAAAAATAAAAATTCAGTGTTGTATTTATTTGGTATTAATCAAAATGCATGGGGACTGTAGAGACACTGTTATAACAAATTCTAACTTTACATTCTTCACAAAAATCTTGAGGGAAAAGAAAATTGTCCATTTTTTTTGAATCATGGCTTCTTAGGGAAACACAGGAAACGTGAGAGGGGCATGAAAAAAATATAGAACTGAGACAAAATAGTAGGTTTACTCCAAGTTTACAAGTAGCAATATTTAATGCTTTGGTATAAATCGTCTTTATTACAGAGAACAACTACCAAATAAATCATTGTGTGGAAAAGAATTGATTTGGGAATCAATTGTCTGGGAAAGAAAATCACAAAGAAGTGATTGTGAAGACATTCATTTGTTCTTCAGATATGTAACTGTTTAATCTGAAGTAAACTTTGGGATGGAAAACTATTAGGAACGTTTCTTGCTTAATTTTGCCATTGTACGCTCTGATATTGATTGTTCAGGATTATTGAGCACACATGCTGTAATGAGAATTGTATATAATTTACTATATATACTTACATATGATAGACATTAAAGGATATATGTGTCTAGTAATAGCAGATGCATGTTTCTGCCCACTAAAGAAATGGTTGCAGCTTTTAATAAATATGGCTAAGGGAATGATGTTAAGATTACGTGTGTGTGTGTGTGTGTGTGTGTGTGTGTGCATGCACATATTGTTCTGGATTTCAAATGAGTATACAAAATTATCATTATCTTACACCACTTGCATTGGGATCTTCAGTTTTTCCTTCAAGAAGTGAATTATTAATAATATATTTAACTTTTAGAGTATTATTGTGGTAGGACTCGCCAGTTTCTTGCTACAACATCTATTCATCCCTTTCTCTTTAGAAACAAACTAGAATTTTTATATTGCTTCCCATAATAAAAAACATATTGCCTTCCAGATTTTGCAGCTAAATTTGGCTATGGGACTAAATTCTGGCCTTGAGTTGTTTAAGAGAGATACTTGTGAGAGTTCTCTGAAGATTGGTCAAAGGAAACTAACTCAGATGGAAGATCCATTTGCCCTCCTGCCTTTCCTCTTAGCTTTTAGCCTGAAAATCAGTGGTGATGGCTGGAGAGCCAATAGCCATCTTGGAACACGACGTGATTCTGAAGGTGGGAAGCAAGGCTGGGATGGTACAGAATAAAGATAGGAACTTGGGTCCTTGAGAAAATTGTGGAGCCACCATATCTACCTGTAATTCCTACTTTCAGACCTTTTTCTATGTGTGAGAGATTTATCTTATTTAAGTCATTGTTATTTTTGTTGTTAATACTGTTGTTGTTAAGCTAGCATTCTAGTTGAGCCCAAGCTAGGACTCAGAGTCTGGTTATATCTGATGAGCCCCTGGATCAGCATCCCTCAATGCCAACTATTAAATGTAATGGGTTAATGATGAATGGAACTCTATTTCACGTAACAAAGAACAACTTGTTATGCCCAAATATTACGAGGTCATATTGCTCTTATTTCTCTCTAACCTGAGATTTGGGTCCGTGTTCTCTATGAGAAATTAGAAATTTCTGTTGTGGTATTCTGTTTTTGTGTTAGGATCGTCACTGTAAATCTACTTAATAGTAAAAATAAAATCTTGCTTGGAATTGTGAATTAAATGAATTCTCCATTGTGCAGAAACAGGAACAGCATTATATTTTGTATGTAATACTCTTAAACAGTCAATTCATTTATTCAATTAATATTTTTGAGCTATTATGGGTTACATAAGTTATGGAGGGGCTTTGTTATTTAGTCAACTCATGTCCAATATCACAGGGGTCAGTTGTGAATTTGGAAAAAATAGAAGAAAAGAAAAATTAAAGCAAATGACAAAAGTCTAAATATTTTCCTCAAATAATTGTCTTTTTTTTCCTTAATGTCTTGTGTTTACAGACTGGAATTTAAGCCGCATTTTTCTAGATGGCACCAGCCTATTGGTACATATATTAATGTCAAACAGTAATGCTCAAATTACACGGGTTCACAGCTGTTTCTACATAATTTCTTAAGTATTCTTGCCACGAAGTCTCCCCCTCTTTTCTGGGAGACCTGGGGGAAGGGTCTCACATGTCCTTATGACCGGTTTGCTCACATTACTCACTTACTAGCCACCCTTGTGCTTACAAGATCCTTCATGTAGGAGCGCCACCATTCTGTCTTATGTCAGGATCTTCCAGTAGAACACTGCTGTCCCGTAATAAGGCCATATACATGTTCTTTCTAGGTTACAATTTCCCACACTGCTAACTGATGCTGCATTCACTTTAAACTGCACCCTACTGGGGACTGACTTGTTCTATAGAAATGAGGTGACTGTTTCTCTAGCCAACTCTGTCAGCTTGAAGTACTACTGCTTATGTCCTAAAATCTCTTATGGAAACATTTCTTTGTCTTCTTATTTATAGTCCTGAAGCATGCATCTTTTATTGTGCTTTATCTCTTGTGTCTCTACTGGAGGCACCCGGGGTTTGAAGTTTTATCCCAGCAGTTATTTATTCCCCGTGCACATTTACTTTTTCTAATAATTGGCAGGGAGGACTTCTACTGCTCCATCAGTTTATGAGAGAAAACCAAACTGAATCCGAGTTTCAGCTCAACTGGGAACCCTGCTACACCAGAACTTAACCTGGATTCCAGATTGCTTGATAAAATAGCTAGTTGATGATAAGCTATAATTTCTTGACCACACACACACACACACACACACATGCGTACATATGTACATACAGCAGTTCCCTTCATCCACAGGATATGCTCAAACCCACAGTGCATGCTTGAAATCTCAGAAAATACTGAACGCTATATATACTATGAGTATTCCAATACATACATACCTATGATAAGTTTATGAAGTAGTCACAGTAAGAGATTAATAACAATAACTATTAATAAAATAATAACAATATGCTGTAATACAAGTTATATAAATGTGGTATTTTTCTCTCTCTCAAAATATCTTTTTGTACTATACTCACCTATTTTCAAACCCTGGTTGTCCACAGGTAACTAGAACCAAGGAAAGTGAGATGGCAAATAAGTGGTAAGGGATGCTACCGTATCTCACATACATATATTTCAAAATACGTCAAACCATACACCTCAAAACTTGTAATTTATATCAACATGATATGCTTGATACCATAGGCAATGCCATTTTCTCATTAACTCATCTCTTTCAGTTGCAAAACACCATATAAAAGGAATGGCACATGCTATAACATGTATTTTGGGTATTTTACATTTATCCAGATATGAATATAAGTAATATACTTAGTTATAATGTTCCCTTAAGCCACTGTTTTGCTACATGCTTCTACACATTAATTCTTTTAAAATTTATTTTAAAGGTAACACAGTTTTTTTCTTTTACAGTCTCCCCTTAGTAAATGTAGCTACTACGACTATGAGTAAAAGAGATATGGATGGGTGGAGGAGATATGGAGAGGCCAGCACTTTTGTAGATAAATGCAATGTGAAAACAAGGAACTACTCTTTAATTACTGGCACAGAAATAATGACAAGGAAACAAAATTACTTCCTGAATCACACTTTATCACCTGACTGGTTGCAAAGGCACATTTTTTTTCTGTTTTCGTCAAATTAAAATCTTAACCATGTAAATTCAAGGCTGTAAAGGAAAACTCAGGATCCTTCATAGTAATAATTACAGTATTAAAATTCTTAGTTGCTAGAAAGTGGTTAGAACCATTGAGAAACATTTTATCAGGTTACGTGGTTAGAGCAAGATTTGAAAAAACAAAATCAAAAACAAAAAACCCAATGTAAAATATCAGAACATCTGAGATGTCCAAGCTGAAAAGTGTAATAAACGCTATCAACTGTAGTGGAAAGAAAGTTCCAAAGTATGAAGTCCAGAGCAATTGTTGGTAGCATGAGTGGTGGGATTGAAGTAAACTGAAATAAATGGAAGGCATTTGTTTAACCTATGATATTGCTGAAAGACAAGTCCCAGCACAGTAGCTTTCTCCTTTAAAGACTAGCCAGATGTCGGCCTTTTTAAGAGCACAAAGAAGGGAGCCACAGAAAGAGGTAACAATGCTGGTAGAGAATGGCAGCTACAGTAAGGTTGTTTTTAAATGGATAGAAATCTATGTAAAGGTGACTCCGACAAAACACAGTAGCTGTCTCCTCCTCAGTCATTTAGGCAGAAACTTGCACTAAGTAAAAAGGTGCAAGGTATTTATCAGCAATTCCCATTATCTGGTACTTTTATTGCTTTGGCATGATTAGCAGAGACTGTTTGGCCAGCGTTGTCAACTATTTGCTTTTTCATCAGCCTGATGTTTGGTCTGCAATCCCTCTAAAACTAACAGCAAAAGAGAAACTCGGAAACTTGGGAAGTTTCAGTTGGCATTCAGATGTCACCCCAGCCTACTCTCTGTGAGATTTATTCTGCATTTTAGAAGCTCAGTGGCTGTTGCTCTTTTTGATAGCCAACAAGAAGCAACGTCATAGACCTGTTTGGCTGCTGTCCTGGGTAGAAGGGTTTGGCAGCCCTAGGGAGATGAATTTCTCCAGCGTTGGACCCGCCCAGAGCGGAGAAGCAACACCCTTCCAGCCACTACTCTGTTGCTATGAAACAAAAGACTAGGAAGGTAAGCGAAGCAGGAAGTCCCGCCTTTCAGCCCCAGATGGCTTTGGCTCCCGGTCCCGACGCTCACGCCCACCTGCCACCCCTTATTGGTTAGCTCCTTCGTGCCTTGCATCCCTTCGTCCATTTCCTTTCCCGTTTCCACTTTCGTTCCCGGGAGAGTCCAGGCCCCTCATTTCTCTCCGAGTCCAATTCCTTTCTGACGTGCTGCGAGCGGGCCTTCCTCTGGGGCCATTGTGTACTGTGGAGGACGTGGACGGGGCGGCAGCGCGAGGAGGACGGGCGCCTCCCGTCCATTGGCTGCACCCGCTGTCGGGCAGTGCGCGGTTGCGCGGCATTGGCTCAGCGGCGCCCGGCCCCGCCCCCGCCCCGCCCCGCCCCGAGCCTGGGTCCTGTGTGTGCCACAGGGGTGGGGTGTCCAGCGAGCGGTCTCCTCCTCCTGCTAGTGCTGCTGCGGCGTCCCGCGGCCTCCCCGAGTCGGGCGGGAGGGGAGAGCGGGTGTGGATTTGTCTTGACGGTAATTGTTGCGTTTCCACGTCTCGGAGGCCTGCGCGCTGGGTTGCTCCTTCTTCGGGAGCGAGCTGTTCTCAGCGATCCCACTCCCAGCCGGGGCTCCCCACACACACTGGGCTGCGTGCGTGTGGAGTGGGACCCGCGCACACGCGTGTCTCTGGACAGCTACGGCGCCGAAAGGCAAGAAGGGAAGGGGTCGCCGGGGAGGCTCCACACTTCTTGCCGGCCCGGGGGCCCGGGGTAGCCAGGCGCGGGCCAAGGAGGAAGAGGGGACAGCCCTGGCTCTCAGCTGCCTTTGCCGCCGCCGTCCAGTTTGAAGTGGGGCATTTAAAGACCAGAACCCGCAGGCCGGGGAGGAGGGAGAGGGCGTCCAGGCAGACGGCGGTGAGGACTGCAGCAGGCGGCCGGGAGGCGCGTCCACCCAGGCGCCGAGCCCACAGTGTCCCTCCCGCGCCCTAGACGGACGGTGCTGCGGGCACGGGAGGGACACTTTGTCCCCTCCCAGTCCACCTTCCTCCTGCAGCTCAGACCCGAGGGGCCGGGAAGGGGCCTGAGCAGGGAAGGGACACAGGCGTCCTGAAACAAAGCTTTGGGTTGAGGGCAGAGGCGAGGAGCCAGAGAAGTGAACTCCTCCTTTCCGTGGCCGCTCTTGTCATTTTTCTCTTTTCTCTTTTCAAATGGGCTATTTGTGTGTTAATTTCATTTGGTTCTTGGGAATAACGACTCACCGCGTTGATTTAAAGAAAGGTGTTCGTGTGTCCGTACTTGGTGGTTTTAGTGTGGGACATGCCCTGCGCTTTTGTTGACAACAGAGCTGTCCCTTACGTTTGTGTAGGATAATCTTTATGTTTATGTAACTTGGAGAAATCTAACAGAGTGAAAGTGAAGTTTCTGCGTAAGGCTCCCAAAATGTATGATAGGACCTTCAGTTGTTCTGGTATTTTGAATTGGAATTAAGGCAGGAGGGGAAGAACATTCTGTTTTTATCTAGGTGGGGGAAACCTGTTTAAGTTTTGTTTGTTCTTTTTTTTTTTTTTATGAGTTGAGTATTAGTTCAGCCTTAGCTACTTGAAACGTGAGCAGGATGCATCTTTAACTCTTAGTATTGTAAAAGCAAATCTAGGATCACTGCTCTTAAAACTACTGTGTGTAAAGATTGAGAGTGTAAATTCACAAGCTTATTGATAAAGATGAATCCGGAACTTTTGGTTTTGCTCTAATCGATGGAGGAAGATGCAGTGGTACAAGTTAGTCTCTAGTTTTCTGGTGGGTAAATATTTTCAAAACCAACTAACTTTTCTTTTTTTAAATCTGCCTTTTAAAGAACTAAAATTCCAGATGGCAAACTCAATGAATGGCAGAAACCCTGGTGGTCGAGGAGGAAATCCCCGAAAAGGTCGAATTTTGGGTATTATTGATGCTATTCAGGATGCAGTTGGACCCCCTAAGCAAGCTGCCGCAGATCGCAGGACCGTGGAGAAGACTTGGAAGCTCATGGACAAAGTGGTAAGTTCTGTCTGACGTTGCCTGTGCGAAACACTATTCACTTTGTCTGTGGTTTCTCCAGATTTATTTATACTGTTAATTAATACCAACCATTGTTATGGCAACAATCTTTTGATTTCAATTCATCATTTTTCTTCAACTCTGTGTTTTTTGAAAAGTTGGATTCAAAGACTTTTTTGTTTTTTAACCTTTCATCCTTTCTACTCTTTAAGGTTCAGAGTTCCTCTACATGACTCAGTATGTAAAGTTTTACCATTGGCTGCTTTTTGTTGGTGTATGGCCATAGAATGCTTGGAAGTGTTTGTTCTGTCTTCTGTGAGGTTGTGTTGCTCTTAGATAACAAAAGAGTACCAGCAGGTTATTTAAGTCTTTGACCACTCATGACAATCATCTGGTATGATACTGAAAATATTTACTGGGGAAAGAAACAGATTAGTTCTTAAGTGAAGAAGCAGTAGTTGAGGGAGTTTCCATTTTCATCTTTGAGAATTCATCTTCATTAAGAAACTTTTTTTGTTGTTAATGGGAGAGTTAACAGTTTCTTTCATCTACTATTCCATTTTGAAACAGGAAACCTTTCGATGGCACATTGTTTATTGTGAAAGGAAAATTTATGTTGGGGGTGGTGAGGCTGAGAGTATCAGAAACCTCTGTGGTTTCTGCATGTTGCTTTCAGACAAACTATAATTTCACAAGAAGAAATCATGATGGGTGTCAGTATCCAGAGAAGTCAATCTGAATACCTTACAGAGATTTACTCAGAAACTGTAGCTGTCAGTATCCTACCTTACTAAGTATGATTATAAAATAAATTTAAGATGTAGCTTGCTGCTTTGCAAAAATTAATAATTCTTTTTTTTGAAGCAGTAGCACTGTCCTGGATTTATTAGTAAATGTTTGGAACACATTATGACTTTATTTCATAGATATCTGGGGCCAATTATAAGTTTAGTTGAGGCAAGACTCAGTATCTTTATAACTGAAGAAATGGAGGTTTTAAAAACAAATTTCTGTGTAAGGATGTGCCAAAGCATCCATGAAATCATGTGATAACATTCATCTTTGCTTTGATTTGCTCCTGTCTGTAAATATTGGCTATAAAAGCCACTATCAGTAGTAGTAGCAACATATGAATGTGACAAGATTTCCATTATTTTCATTTATTCTGATGGAAGGGACACACAGATGAATGACTGGCCTGTCATTCTACAGGCAATGGTGCTAAATGCAGAGCCAGAATATTTTTGCCAGATAAATAGCCTTAGTTTTGGGCTTCAGTGTGACCTATTTACGCTTCTGCCAATTTATTCAAATTGTTATATTAAAGTGCTCCAGACAGAATGATGTCATAGTGTCAGAATATTGCAACTTGCTGCTTGGGGTTCAGTTTTGATTTTAGCATTGGATACTTTAGAATAAGGACTATTCAATTGGAAAAATAGCATATATTTGTCAAGCACAATGCTGCCTATCTTGTCTTTGCTAAAGAGTGTGCATTTGAAGGTCACTCTCACTGCCTAAATCATTAGTTGGGGTAAGAGAAGGAATTCAAGGTTTTTCTCTAACTTATCTGCTACGTAAGTGGACAGCAAATGGTTCAGATTCTATAAAGGGGCTGTTCTTTTTCCCCCACCCTCCAACTTTGAGTGGTCAGTGTTTGTACATTTGTGTTAGGACATCAAATCAAAAAGATTTATATAAGGATGTGGTGAGCTATAGTTACTATAAAATCATTATTTTTGAAACATTAAAAATGATGTACACAATTTTGGTCTGTAACTGGTTGTTAACATAAGTTTTATTCACTTTTAATTATTTCACCATGAGTTATGGTAAAATAGATGGTTATTTGATAGTTAAACATCTGCTATTGTTTATTTTATTAACCCTTCTGTGGGTTTAGGTTTAGTCTCTCCAATTGAGAAACTTGACCCAACAAGGAAATCTATTATCAAAAGTCTCTACTTAGTGGGATGTGGGTGCGGGTGTTGGCAAATGTACATTGCCTGTTTGTCTTCATTATTTGTCAAAGATGAAAATGGTTGTGTTCATTTGTGAATGTACCCAGGGGCTTTGTGGAGAGAAATTGCATAAATTATTATGAAAGAATTCAGTATGTTTATTTTTACTGTAAGATACAGTAAATAGAAAGGCATTGATAATTACTAATTGGCAGTATATAAGTGTGTAGTACAGAAACATCCCCCTCTTTTGTTTATCTTTTCTTATTTGTTAGTGGTGAAGGAAGTGGCTCATAATATCAACATTGTCCTGATGATTACATCAGGAACTTTATTATTAGTTCTGAAGTTAATCCCTTGACACATTACCTTTTTAAAAAAATAACTGCAATAGCATGAATTTAGTTTGTGAATAACAGAAAATAGCAATTTTCAAGTCTAATTGGTAGGTATGTAAAAGGCAGAGTTAAGTGTATAGTTAATATTTTTTTCTTATGAAGCCTCTTTGCAAGGGTAGATCTTGGAAGTATAAATATGAACACAAGCTTCAATTTCAGTGTGTTTCAGCTACCAATAAAGTAAAATAACTATTTTTACAGGGAATAATGAAGCAGTCTTGGGTTGTAGGGGAAATATCTAGTGAGTATGTAGTTTTACCATTTCTTGGCCTCTGGAATTTAAAATGGTCAATTGAAATTCTTTCCAATTAATGTTCTGTTTTCAGAGGGCAGGCTTTTGCTCTAAGGTCACTGAGAATAGGAGAGCGTAATTGCTCAGTTGTGTTCCTTATAAGATGTAGAGTGTTTTGTAACAGAAAATCAGTAGCACAGAGTTAGCATAGTCTATGTTTTGAGGAAAAGAATAGTAGATAGTAGCATATCCCAAAACATCCCATTACAGATTTTCTGGCCTTAGCTCTGTGTATGTGTAATTTGATAGCCGACCCAGAAGCCCTCACATCAGTGGATGCTTATTTGATACAGTGATAGAAGTATTAATCATGAATACATATCTAGGTTCAAGTGCGCCAGAATGAAATGTGGAGTCTGTTCTGAAGCTACTCAAGAGACAAGGTTTCTTAAACACTTAATAAACATTTTTTGAGGGCCTACTGTGTTTCCACTGAGTGCTCGTTACTGGGGATATGAAGCTAGACAAGACATAATCCCGCCTTTGACCTGTCAAGGAACTCAGAGAACAGTATCAGAGCCAAACACATAAATGGATAATTGCCATGTAGTATGGAAAGGGCTATATTACAAACCCCAAGTACAGTGGGAACAGAGTAGAGAACATCCTCCTTGTTTTTCTGGCCAGTGTTGAGACAGTTTTCTGTCTGGATTCTGCTGGCCATTGCCTTTTAGGAACAGCATTATTGTGTTCTTGTTGGAAATGCTGAGGTGAGAGTAAGGAAATGATTACTAATCAGTATGGTTGGAATGATAATTTATTAATGTGAGGTTCCTGAGCATGGTTTTCATAAGAATCTTAGCCAGGTGATGGAAAATAGAAGAAACAATTTTCCATCTAATAGATACTAAATGTACTGAGCATACATGGATGCTTAGGAAATTAGAAAATAATTAATTGATGCTGAAGAGCAAAGCACTCTGAGTACCTGCCTCAAATTTTTGTTTTGCTGTCCTCGTCATTTATTTTAAATTACATTACCAAAAGAATTTAAAAAGCATTTAGGAAGTGATGATGCCCAGTAGGCTTTTCCTGCCTTTTGCCCTCAGTCTATTTAGTACATTTTTCAAGCTTGAAATATAATTTACACTCCTTTTAATTTAATTGTGATCATAATATATTTTAAAGTTTGTCAATCAAGGATGCTTGGATTATATATAAATATTTTAAAGAATACAAGTCAACTTTCTTTTCTAAGCTGAGTTCCTCATATCTCTGAAAGATATTCCATGTGGACTAAGACAGGTTTTAGATGCCTGTTGTTTGTGTTTACTAAGTTGGAGACTCTTACATTCCTAGAGCCTTAAAACCAGGGATATCATTCATTTGAATTATACTTCTTGACGTATTTCCTTTTCCTCACTGAAGTTGTTCCACCTTAGCAGAATCATGGGTTGTGGTAGACTTGGTTAGGGGATAATAACAAATTGTCTGGACAGTTTTGTTTAGTACTCAGTTCAGTTTTGAATTTGTGTTGTGATAAATGAAGTGATCCCAAAGTTTGGTACATGACTTCTTAGAAAAGCTATTGATAAAGTGAAAGATTTAAAGGAATCATATGAAGACTTACCTTGGTTTATCCCTGTGATATAAGGCATTCATATAATGCAGGCCTTAATCAGTTAGTAGTCTTTTAAATATTACAGAATTTTTAGCATTGAGATTTTGAATCTATTTCTTTCTTCTTTTTAGAAGGTGCTTTATGTGCTATCTGTTGATTTCATCATTCATTTATCAAATCTCAACTATGGAAAGACAGACATTTCCAAATAGCTATGCCATAGAGTAAAATGTAGTAAGTGCTTTAAGGTAGTATAAATAAAGTGCTGAGATGTAGTACGTGGTAGAGGTGAACCGTTGCTTGCTAAGGGTGAAAAGTTGGTGTAGAATGAAGCATGGAGGAGGTGCTGGCCAGCTCATGGGTTGGAGTCCAGTGAGATGGAGGACATGTTAGGTTGAAGGAATGATAGATTGTTGAGTAAGAGAGGGGAAGTTAGGGTAAGATGATAGAGGTTTTGATTGCTTTTGTCAAATAATTTTGTCTTAATTTATTTGGTAGAAAACCATTGAAGGCTGTTAATCAGGGAGGGAAAACTTCAGGGCTGTGCTTTGATAGAATACTTACTTGACTCTGTAAAGCTTGAATTAAGAGAAAAAAACTGAAAGCAAGAGTAATGATCAAGAGGAATTAAAACAGTCTGGGCAAGAAATAATGAAATGCTGGCCTAGATACTTGGAAGTAGGTGTAGCAAGTGTTGGTTCAGATGTGGGAGGCATTTTGGAGGTAAAATCTACAGGTCTTGGTGACCCCTTAGAATTAGAGGATGAAAGAGAAGGTGCAGTGAAAGTGACTCTTGAGGTTTTCAGCCTAGTTGACTCCGAAGGCAGTGATGCACTTAATGAGGTAAGGAACGTAAGAAGGAAAAGAGGAAGTGTGCGGGTTAGTTTTTGGCCATGCTAAGTTCAGTGTACCAGAGTGAATTTCATTTAAAATCAGAAAATTAAGTGTACAGTTCAAGAGAGAAGTAGAAACAAGAGACACATATTTGGTAGATATTCTCATAGAGATAGCATTTCAAGCTATATAACTGTCAGAGATTTCGGAGGAAGAATAGAGGGAGCAATGCAGAGAAAAAGTCAGATAATTGAATTCTGGGGAGATTGAGGGGTGTAATTAAATACCAGAGAAGGAAAGAGAATCCTACATAGATTAGTGATGAGAAAGGTAGAATTAAACCATAATGACATCCTAGGTACAAACAGCTTTAAGAAGAAGATAAAATCTGAAGTTCTGATAAAACTAAGTTCAGATTCAAGTAGAGAAAACCAAACAGGGTGAAAAATTAAGAAGTCATTGAATTGTATGATTAGAGGCCATTATTGACCTTTGTGGAGCAGTTTAACTTATGTGATGGGGTGAGATTAAAATGAGTATGTGGATTATTTAAAAATTGTTCTAGAACTGTAACAACAATGAAAAGGAAGGGAGTTCTGTTAGCTTGAGGATTTGAACATCATTGAAATAACTCTGTGTGTGTGTGTGTGTATGTATGTGTGTGTGTGTGTGTGTGTGTATGTGTGCACACACCATAGGAGAGGTTCAAAGATTGGTGGGAAAAAAAAAAGATTGATGGGAAAGGATGTAGTTAGGGAATGGCCTAAGATGCAAGGGAAAAAGAAATAGTTGAAGCAGTAGCATTCTAGATTAAACTGTGGGAGGGAAAGAGTAGGAACAAGTAGAAGGGTTAATCTTGGCGAATAAATGTAACTTCCACTTACACAGGAGGAAAGCAAGGGAATATACAGAGAAGTTTTGAGGGAATTTGTAAATTTTATATTGGGTTGTCAGGAAGTGATTTAAGGCATAATATTTATAATGTTTAAACCATGTTTTTAATTTTTATATCATGAAATATGCAATATATGTATTTTAACTAGTCTTCTAGCATTTAAGTGGGTAAATAAGTAAAAAATTAAAATGGAAATCAATTCTCATCTTTAATATTAAGTTTATCTTATTATACACTTGCTGTGACTTAGAGGATGCCACAGTGCTATTTTTATCTACTCTGCTTGGGCATATATTAATAATATTATTACAATTTTACTAAAGGTTTTTTTTGTTTTTAAGTATTTGTAGGTTGCTAATTTTTTTCAAGTAATGAAAGACACATTTTGAAAATATCCAACACATTTTATAGGTTTTTAACATAGTTACATTTAGATGATTGTTGAGCTTATATTATCTTACAGTATCAATGAAAAAAGTATTAATAGTTATAATATTCTACCTGTTAAAAGATTTAAAAAAATATTAAAGCCCTACGTCTTTTCCTGAGAGCCTCTTGGGTTTGAAGAAACCAGAGGATTCCATGTCAGCTGACAGGAACACTGACCTGGGCTTAGCCTTATTTCCTGCTTTTCTGCACAGAACATTCCAGGCTTTTTAAGGGTTTTAGGCAGCATGAGTAACTTTATGAGCTAAAAGAGCTTCTAAAAATCATGATCCTCAACAAACTGTTCAGTGCCCTTGGTCTAATTTTCATACCTTTGCAAAATCTGCAGGGATTTTGCCTTGTGATGGAATGTAAAATATGGAAGGGAGAAGAAATATTAAGAAGGAGATAGGGCTAACTATGTTCTGGACACAGTGCATAGCACTTTACATTTCCTCTTGTAAGAATTATAATATCCTAAGAGGTTTCCCGAAGAAGAACCCTGCCCAAGGTTGTAAAGCTAGTAAATGTTAGGGCCAGATCCTAGGTTTGCTTGATTCTAATGTCTGTGTTCACAGTATGAAGAGTGAAGCACACTGCTCCATGGAATAATATGATGCTTCCTTTTTCCAAAGGAAGTAAATCAAAAGGGCATTTCCCCTCCTCCACTTCCATATTTGATATTATCAAATTCTTCTCCAAACTTTGTACTCATTTTTAGGCAGCTTTATTCAATGTAGTTGTGGATATGCTATTTGTAATATAATTTTCCTGAGAGGTTCGTCCTTACCTTGTTTGCTTCCTCCTCCTCTTCCTCCTTTCTGCCATCAAATATTTGTTGCACATCTACTATATGCAAAGTTCCATATTAGGTGATAGAGAGAGACCAATGAGAAAGACTGTTCTTCACTTTCAAGGAAGTTCCATTCTCATTTGGAAGAAAGAGAGTGAACAGAATACACAATTGATATTTTAATTACAACTAGTCAGTTCTTTAATGGTGCTTCTTAATGTCAATCTTCTGAAGACATCTTCGTGGAAAACCATAAAGGTCTTGGTAATTTTCTGTAAATTCAGCTGTGCTGGACTCATGATCAATTTTATATGCCAACTTTGTTTTGCCCAATTAATAATCTATTAAAAAAGTGTATTTTTATACTTTTTTACACTGTACATTTTTATACTTAGTAAAATACATTTTTATAATTTTTATATTTAGTAATTATTTGCTGCATTAAAATGGAAAGAACCCAAAGAACTCTTCGGTACCTGTTATTATAAAGAGAGAGATATATATATACTTTAGGTCACTGTAATAAGAAACCTCTTCTAACATTTATAGGAGGAGGACAGGGCTTTCTTTTTTTTTTTTTTTTTTTTGACACGGAGTCTCACTCTGTGGCCCAGGTTGGAGTGCTGGAGTGCAGTGGCACGATCTCGGCTCACTGCAAGCTCCGTCTCCTGGGTTCACGCCATTCTCCTGCCTCAGCCTCCCAAGTTCCTGGGACTACAGGCGCCTGCCACCACACCCTGCTAATTTTGTTTTTGTATTTTTAGTAGAAACAGGGTTTCACCGTGTTAGCCAAGATGTTCTCGATCTCCTGACCTCGTGATCCGCTCGCCTCGGCCTCCCAAAGTGCTGGGATTACAGGCGTGAGCCACCGCGCCTAGCCCAGGGCTTTCTATATTGTTTTTAAGAATGAGGCAGTTCACTTGAGAGTATATGACTTGATTCAGTGTAACTGAATGCTCCATGAAGTGAGGCGTGTTTTATAATGAAAGTCTTATAGTATAGGCACAATTCCTTACTGTTGAAATTTTCATTTTATTTGGTAAGAGTTCTTTCCTATGTTTCACAGGCTGGTTTGAACCTTGTTTGCAAGGAATGTACTATCTGATCTAATACATTTTTATTACCTTTTGGCTGGAAGTTTTAATTAAGGCGCAGTCAGAAAACTCTTTAAATGCAAGATTATTCCAAGAATAAGTAATGACTTTGAAAATTCTTATAGCATTAGTAAATCCTGTTTTTGTATTTGTGCTTTTGCTTTGATATGGTTGAATATATGTATCTAAATACATATTTATGTATTGGAATGCATAGCCAATATATTAATAATATATTTTTATTCATGTGAAACAATGCATGTACAGAGAGAGTCTCCTTAAATATTTCTAATACATTTAAGCAAATACAAAACTCAGTTGTATATTGGTATGGAGACAGTTCCTGATTCTCAAGTCCAGCTATCAGGGTTCTGAGCAGTAACCTTAGTTAGGTTCTAGTTCTGTATTTCAATATTGACACGTCAAAAGGAATTGGTCCTGGTAATTTCCAAATTTTTTGAGTCAATGGCTATAGTGGAATTTTCAGCCTAATTCCAATAATAAATGTTTTGCCTTTTAGTTCAACAGAAAAGAGCAATATTGCTATTGAACCAATTCTTTTATGCACCAATCGGTGCCCTACAAAGTTCATCATTTTATAATGTGACTACAGATTTGTTCTTTGTCAAAGCTCTTCTGTGTTAGTACCAAGCTTCATTCTAGGAAGCAATTTAGGTATTTCTAGAAGAGGTGTAACCATTTGAATCTGAACTTGACCCTGGTGGTGAGCTTGATTTTCTCTCTAATATACTGCCTTTAGAAAAGCAATTTTTCTTTCCTGGCTTTTGCAGCTCCTTGCACATAGCAGGTATTCAATAAATATTTATTGAATGGAATTGAATTTGACCTGCTTAGAAGTCATAGTCCTGATGTAGGGTTATTCATTTTTGGCAGAAGCTGTCATAAATCACAGGGTTTAATAGTAATCCAACTGATGAACTGCGCACCCAGTGGCATACCGTAGTTCAGCATTGTATGTTGCACTTTCCCAAGTGCAAATTTAGAAAACAGTTTAGCCTACAGGGCCTTGATGAACTGACTCTGGCCTATTTCAGATCTCTCGTACTACTCACTCACAGCCTTCCTTCCTATGCTCTGATCTTTTAGAATAACTGCATTTACTTCTCTCTTAACATGCTTGCTCTCTGGTGTCTCTTAAGCCTTAGCACACTCCTTTGCCTAGAATACTCCTTTTGGCAAATTTAAGTATGTATTTCCTGACACTCTTATGTGGAGATGAGTGAGCTGCTGCTTTTCTCCTGTAGCAGTTTGTACTTGCCTCCATCATAGCACTAAATTCTCCTGTAATTCTTTTCCTAAGCCACCAGTCTTTCCCACTAGGCAGCTGCTTGAGGGCAGGTGTGTGATTTATTCCTTTCTGTGTTCCCTAGAGCCTGAAACAATGCCTGCCACATAAATGTTTGTTGAATTAACAAATGGGTCCTGAAGTTTACGTAAATTTGCAAATGGAATAAAATAAAAATGTAAATGAGTTTAGCAGGGATCATTAATTATATGCCTAATTTTAATTAAATTGTGATACAGTTAGAAAGATCAGCCCGAGATTCAGAAGATACAAGCTCTTGTATTGGATTAATGATATTTTAATGGTCCCTTAATCTTTCTAGTTCTTAGTTTTTTTAAATCTGGAAATGAATGGATTGGGTGGAATCTTTACTAAGATCCCTTAGAGCAAGAATTACATTGCTCTTAAGTTAATTATAGAGAACTACGTCTCTTCTGCCAGACTCTTTGCATCTCTTTGAATCAGGAAGTATGTTCTAGTCATCTATAATTTCCTAGCTCTAAGCTCAGTACCTGGCATATAGTAGTTCAAGCAATTTCCACCTGATAAAGCAATAAATTCCCACATGGAATTACAGTTTTAAATAAAGCAAATGAGAAAAAAGTTCAGATAAAGAATAGTGAATTAAATATTTGTAAAACATAAACGTTTCTGTCAAAGAATATTTATGTGGAATGTCTGGAAAAAAAATACCTGACAGAAATTTTGTATGTATCAGTTAAAAAGTTCTCTAGTAGAGGAAATGAATTTGAAGCTACCTGGTCCCCAAACTAGAAGAAAATAATGTATCAGTCTGTGACATGTTACACCAAGTTTTATGTTGCTGACATTAAACTATGCCTGCTGTAGAATGTTGGTGGCAATATTCTTGGTATTTATGTATACTTGTGATAGTATTTTTGGTTTAAATAATTTAAAAACCATATTCTTTTTCAAGCAGGATTTGTTAAATAATTGGCATATTTGGGACTTAATCTTTAGGGCAGAATGAACTCTGATTATACTAACGTATCACGTATTAAAAAGGGGGTAAAAAAAGCTCTGTCAGCCATTTTCACTATACTTTGTAAAGATTTGCTGTTATTTAGTAAATGAGATGACATCTTACCTTTCCAAGGACTTTCTTGGAGATAAAAATACTATTATTACTTTTTAACTAAGCCTATACCTTTGGATTATTAATTTGAATACTTGATACTTTAGAGTTCAATTGTAAAAATAAAGGAAATAATACAATCAAACTATTTGTGAAAAAAAAATAGCAGTCAACCAATCCATTAATTTGTTGGTTATGTACTCAGCAATTCTGCTTTAAGGCATTGTTTACAAAGAGGAAGAATATAAGATCATGCCCTGGGTTAATGTGAAAAACATCTTAAATTAGAGGCTGATGGTTGGAAATTTGAACCAGATTTTTCTCTCCATCTACTCCCTCTGAAAAAAACCCTGATCCCCAGTGATTTCTTTTTTTTTTCCTTTTCTTTTTTTTTTTTTTTTTTTTGAGATGGAGTCTTGCTTTCTTGTCCAGGCTGAGTGCAGTGATGTGATCTCAGCTCACTGCAACCTCTGCCTCCCGGGTTCAAGTGATTCTCCTGCCTCAGCCTCCTTAGTAGCTGGGATTACAGGCACCTGCCACCACACCCAGCTACTTTTTGTATTTTTAGTAGAGACAGGGTTTCACCATGTTGGCCAGGCTGGTCTCGAACTCCTGACCTCATGATCTGCCTGTCTCGGCCTCCCAAAGTGCTGGGGTTACAGGTGTGAGCCACTGCGCCTGGCCAATTTCTTTAAGAAAGTAAGTGTGATAGTGTGTATAAGAGTACCCTTTAAATTTGTTAGTTCCTTGATTTATTGTGTTCGTTATGCTTGAAGTTATTATAGTTCGATTGTTTATTTGTCCCAGGCACTTTTATGGGTGCCCAGAGGCAGATCCATGTTTTATGTCCCCTGAAACTTATATGATTTGAAAGAATCTTTCTAAATATAAAGAATACGAAAGTACAAACATCAAATTGTTTATGAAAGTGAATTTTTTTTAGAATGAGAAAAATCCACAAAGCACTATAGTTTTTAAAAAGCCGGTATATCTACAAGTGATTAGAGAAATAATCTAGACTAGTTTTTGGCTCTGTACATTTTATACTTTGATTATCTTCCGTTACCGCATATACTTCCAGTTTTGGGTGTCATGAAACACATTCAAATTGCCAGATTTGAATTGGATTTCACTGTTCCCATGGTAGGCTAGTCAGCATTGTGGGCACCTCAGGTATTTCTAAAACCATCTTTTAAAAAAAGTTCTATTACAGATTTAAAAAATATTGTATTTATTTAAGGTGTATAACATGATGCTTTGATATATATACACATAGTGAAATGGTTACTACATCAAATAAATTAACATATCCTTCACCTTCCATAATTACCTTTCTGTGGTAAGACCATTTAAACTCTGTTCTCTTAGCAAATTTTCAGAATACAGTATTATTAGCTATAGGCCTCATGCTGTACATTAGATCTCCAGTATTAATTATCCTACATAACTTCAAATTTGTACTCTTTGACCTTCTTCTCTCCATTTCTTCCCCTCCCCATCCCTGGGGCCCACCCACTGTTCTACTCTCTGTTTCTTTGTTGCTTAACTCCTTCTTTTAAGATTTTGCATGTGAAAATGAGATCATATATTAATAGTATATTCTTTCTTTGCCTGCCTTATTTCAGTTTCATTGGGATTGCTGACAGTAATTAAACCATTTTACAGGAGTGACTGTATGCCTCACATATACCTTCCATTAAACCCAAAGTAAATGTGTCTTCAATTCAAATTTCCATTAGCCAGATTCCAAAAATACCCACAGCCACTCCAGTGCCACCCAACAGGAGGCTTTAGCCAATTATGTTTAAGATATTATACTCTTAGGCCGGGTACGGTGGCGCACACCTGTAATCCCAGCACTTTGGGAGGCCGAGGCGGGTGGATCACAAGGTCAGGAGTTCGAGACCAGCCTGACAAAGATGGTGAAATCCCGTCTCTACTAAAAATATAAAAATTAGCCAGGTGCGGTGGCAGGCACCTGTAATCCCAGCTACTTGGGAGGCTGAGGCAGGAGAATCACTTGAACCCGGGAGGCAGAGGTTGCAGTGAGCTGAGATCGTGTCACTACACTCCAGCCTGGGTGACAGAATGAGACTCCGTCTTAAAAAAACAATAAAATAAAATAAGATATACTCTTGACAATTTGACAAAAAAAAAAAATACAACGAGGGCCTTAGAAGAGAGCCATGTATCTTTATGATCTTTATGTGAACATTTAACCTTTTGTAAGAGTGCTGTCCCATTACACTATATAATGCTACTGTGCAATTCTCAATTATTTCATTTGAAAGTTATTTATGTAAAGAGTTGATTATGCCCTTTCTGGAGGGATAAGAATGTGGTGGACTAACTTACTCTTGGCTAAATCACATGAACATGTAGAAGTGAATACATTAGTTGGATTACTACCTTCTCTGGCCGGCAGAAGGTACTTTCAGTTCTGCAGGCAGCCCCTGAACGCCCCAGTGGTTGGGCAGCACCTGTGATGGGATGACTGAACCGTTATATGCCACATGTTTATAGGCGTGGTAGACAGTATGGGGAGGTGGAAAAGACTGGTTCTGACCTGACACACATTTACTACTTAATAACTCAGTTATTCAAATTGCACCTCTTTGTTTTATTGTCCTCGGGGTTCAGAACAGTACACCAAAACGCTAATTAACAAACTATGAGACAGCAACAGCTGGGAATTCAGTGTAGTAAAATAACATATAAATGTGAGACATTGGTTGTCAACAGAGAAGGCCCATTTCCTCATTTTTATTTAAAAAAAAAGACTATCAGTGATATACAGTGATTAGCATACTGGAGTTCTTTTAAGCTATGCACAATGAGGTATCTTAGAATTAAACTTTAGAGGTTCAAAATAAGGATATGATATAGAAAAGATTGAATGGTAGGAGAACAGAATAGGATTTATTTATATTATGACAAACGTGACTATCAGTTAATAAATTGGAGATAGTAAGTTAAGATCATTATTTATATTATGGAAAAATGAAGAAATAGGACATGGTTCTCTAACTTTTTAATTTTTCTGTGAAATAAAATATTATGACTTATTTTATTTTTATCTTTGTTTTTAGGTAAGACTGTGCCAAAATCCCAAACTTCAGTTGAAAAATAGCCCACCATATATACTTGATATTTTGCCTGATACATATCAGCATTTACGACTTATATTGAGTAAATATGATGACAACCAGAAACTTGCCCAACTCAGTGAGAATGAGTACTTTAAAATCTACATTGATAGCCTTATGAAAAAGTCAAAACGGGCAATAAGACTCTTTAAAGAAGGCAAGGAGAGAATGTATGAAGAACAGTCACAGGACAGGTAAGAAGAATATTTCAGATGTTTTGGTGTAAAGGTCATTTATGTTGCTTTTTACTTAATAGTTAACCTAAACGTCACCATGTAATTGTTTTGGGGTAAATGTGAGTCGCTTTGTATATAGTCATGTGGTACTTAACGATGGGGATACTTTACAAGAAATGCATTTTTAGACAATTTCATTGTTGTGTGGACATGATAGAGTGTACTTACACAGAGCTAGATGGTATTACCTACCGCACACCTAGGCTGTATGATGTAGCCTATTGCTCCTAGGCTGCAAATCTATACAGTATGTTACTGTACTGAATACTGTGGGCAGTTGTAACACAATGGTAAGTATGTGTGTATCTAAATATACCTAAACATAGAAAAGGTATGGTAAAAATACTGTATAAAAGGCCGGGCGTGGTGGGTCATGCCTGTAATCCCAGCACTTTGAGAGGCTGAGGTGGGCGGATCACTTGAGGTCGGGAGTTCGAGACCAGCCTGACCAACATGGAGAAACCCTGTCTCTACTAAAAATACAAAATTAGCCCGGCGTGGTGGCACACGCCTGTAATCCCAGCTACTCGGGAGGCTGAGGCAGGAGAATCGCTTGAACCCAGGAGGTGGAGGTTGTGGTGAGCTGAGATTGTGCCATTGCACTCCAGCCTGGACAAAAAAAAAAATACTGTATAAAAGATAAAAATGGATAACCTGTAATAACCTGTATAACATGCATGGAGCTTGCCAGACTGGAAGTGAGTGAGTGAACGGTGAGTGAATGTGAAGGCCTAGGACTGTTACTGTACACTACTGCAGACTTCAGAAACATTGTACACTTAGGCTACACTAAATTTATAAAAAAAATTTCTTTTCCAATATGAACAGCCTACTGTCACATTTAAACTTGATAAACTTTTAATTTTTTTTAACTTTTTGACTCTGGTATTAACAATTAGCTTAACAAAAATATTTTCTTTCTATATTACCCTATAAGCTTTAAAAAATGTTAAAAAATTAAGTTTTAAAAAAAATTTTATAAACTTTTTAAAAACTAAGACACAAACACACACATTAGCCTAGGCCTGCACAGTGTCAGGATCATCAATATTATTGTCTTCCACCTCCACATCTTATTCCACTGGAAGGTCACACAATATGTAACTTTTTCAGATTGGCTTCTTTCACCTAACAATTTGCATTTTAGCATGGAGCAATAACATGCATGGAGCTATCATCTGTGATAATAGTGCCTTCAGGAATACCTCCTGAAGGGCCTGCCTGAGGCCCTTTTACTGTTAGCTGTTTTTTAATAAGTAGAAGGAATACCCTATAAAATAATGTTAAAAAGTTTATAGTATAGTAAATACATCAACTAGTAATATAGTCACTTATTATAATATCATTATCAAGTATGTGTTATGCATAATTGTATGTGCTATGCTTTTATGTGACTGGTGGCACAGTAGATTTGTTTACACCAGCATCACCACAAACATGTAATATGTTGCACTATGACCTTGTGATGACTATGACATCACTAGGTGATAGGAATTTTTCAGTTCCATTATAATCTTATGAAAGCACTAACATAAATGCAGTCTGTCATTAACTGAAATGTCCTTGACTGAAATGTCATTACGGGGTTCATGACTGTATTTGCTTTTAACATTAATAGCTTTATGTGAATTTACTTATGATAGTAGCTAGTTCATGAGACAGTATTCTCAATGTTTTAATAGACTTCATTTTCAGAGTCATTTTAGGTTTACAGGAAAATTATTCAGAAATTACAGTTCCCATAAATCTCCTCTGCCCAAGCAGTTTCTCCTGTTCACATCTTGCATTGGTGTAGTGTGTTATAGTTGATAAACTATTGTTGATACATTATTATTAACTAAAGCCTAGAGTTTACATTAGGGTCCACTTTTTGTGTTGTGCTGTTCTATGCTCCATAAATGCATAATGTAATATATCCACCATTACAGTGTTATATAGAATTGTTTCACTGCCCTAAAAATGCCCCGTGATCTACTTACTGTCTCACTTCCCCCCCTGAACCCATGGCAACCGCTGATCTTTTTACTGTCTGTGCAGTTTTGCCTTCTCCACAGTGTTACATAGTTGGACTCACACAATATGTAACTTTTTCAGATTGGCTTCTGTCACCTAACAATTTGCATTTTAGGTTCCTCCATGTCTTTTCATAACTTGGTAGCTCATTTCTTTATGCCACTGAATAATACTCCATTGTGTGGTTGCATCACAGTTTGGTTTTTCACTCACACCTTGAAGTACATCTCGGTTGCTTCCATTTTTTGGGTAATCATGTATAAAGTTGCAATAAATATTTGTGTGTAGGTATTCATGTGGATTTAGGCTTTTAACTCATTTGGGTAAAATACCTAGCAAGATTGCTAGATTTTCAGGGTATGCATAAGTTTAGAAAGCACATAAGAAACTTTCAAGAAAGTTTGTAAGAAACCCCTTGACTGGTTCCAAAGTGGCTCTACCCTTTTTCATTCCCACCAGCAACGAATGACAGTTCTTGGTGCTCCACATCCACACCAGAATTTGGTATTGGAGACAAGTGTTTTAAAGACATAGTTTGATTGAATCTGCGGATGTGGTAGATGTGGGTGGGAGATGTAACTTCCATCTGTGTATTTTGACTTAAGTGAGAAACTGAACTGGGCTGGCAAAGACTGAATTGACATCAACCAAATCCTAATTTTATAGCCAGGATTCTTCATTTAGATATCCTCATTCAAGTTTATTGTTTGGCCATTCTAATGTTAAATTTCAGGATCTATCTTAAACAAAATAAGGAAAATGATAGAGTTTTCCATTTCTGGGCTATTTTAAATATATATGGAATATTCATGATAGTGATAGTTTATTTAGATTTCCAAATTGGAAAACCAATATTAATGAAAATATATAGTGTCTTAACATGTTAGTTAAATTTTAGTGTGAGACTCTTAACCTCTCTGTATTTAGTTTTCTGACATAGGAAAACCTTTAAGAAACCTCTAATATTTCTTTCAGGTCAGAAAAACTGGCCTCATAGGGTTGTAAAATAGAAAATTCAGTTATGGAGGTATGTGAACTCTAAATTTTCTATGAATACTGGCCAAATACCCATAACAAGTAAAACCATCAAATTCAAACATAAAAAACCCTCTTCCAGGTGTAAAATGGCATAATTATATATTTATAATTTATAATTTTCTCTCTCAATTAGAGATGAACCCAAACATACTCGTAGACGTCTAACCAATTATGTAACTTTGGGCTCGTCACTTAATATTCTTGGGCCACAGTTTATTCATCTTGAGGGTGGTGAATCTTCCTGTTGCCTTTTAGCATTAATTAATGCTTTAAAATTCTCCAGGAATAACAAGAGGAATTTGAGTTGCCACAGTGTGACAGAAGTAAGGTAGAGAAATATTATAGTGATTGTTTATTCTTGTACACTTTTCAAGAAGTGCTAACATCTTGGGAAGTCAGATATTTATGTTAAATTTTTATTTTTCACATTGTATTTCTGCCATTGACCTAATAAAACTAAGTTCTTTACAAATGTCTTTATAATTCTTTTTTCAAATTTAGTAGTTTTGAAATTCTTCCTGATCCAGCCAAGTCATCCATTAAATTTTACTCTTTAGGGTATCAGTACATTGACAAGGCATATAACTCCTTTGACTAGGAATTTGAGTGGATACAGTGTTTTAATTGGATGTAATCATATATGATGTGGTAAACTTGTATCCCACTTTTACATCTTCTGTGGAAACTTGAAACATTTTCTAACTCAGTAGATGTTTTATAATTTCCATTTGATAATTTTGATAGTTTTGCTTATGTGGAAACATTTCATGGGAGACATTTAAGTTTTGTTTGATAATGTATAGATTCCCATAGATTTTGATAGCTCTCATAATGCTGACTATTCACAATGAGGTCACTCATTCTGTGTATTCTTGCCTGCATTTTAAGTGTCCAAGTGAATTTTGTTCACTGTCCTAAATGCAACCCTAAGACAAAATTTATTGGTTTCTATGCTGATATAGCATATCCTTAATTGGATATTACTGTTATCCTTGTTCTGTTTACTGACAATGTTCTGTGGCCAGCTGTGTTTATGCAGAATTTACATTTGATAAATGTTTCATAACAATTCATAATAATGTACCATTCTTGGTACACCATAACAGGCACATAAACTTTCGAACTGTGTTTCTTTTTCTAGTAATATATTTGGACACATTCACTTCTAGGTTCCCTTAGGATTCCAAATGCAAACTGAGTCTAAAATGTGCCATTGCACATGGAGCTCTGAGGCATTTTGCTCTACAGAACACAGAAGAGTCTTCTTAGCATGTTTTCATTTACAGAGTGGCCTCATTCTGAATAGTCAGCATTATGAGATCTATTGATCTATGAAAATCTGTACATTACCAATCAGAACCTAAAAGTCTCCCATGAAATGTTTCTACATAAGCAAAACAATCAAAGGTAGTTAGGCAACAAAGTATATGGTTTAGTAGAATGACTCCACCTAATCGGTATGACAACGCTGGTTACTGGGAATATTATAAATTCACTACAGAATTGTTTCTTTGATTCTGTAAGTAGCTCACTAGGGACATTACTATAATTGAGCTAAAAATGAAGGACAGTAATAGTAGAAACAGTAATTTGGAGTTAATTGACTTAATCAGTATTACTTCATGTGATTCTGCCCGCTTTATTGAAGAAATTGTGCTGGATGAGTACATGAATCAAAATGCATATTTTAATGTTCCTGCACCTCTGTTGTGTCAACAATAAATGCGGATTGTTATACATTTAAGGGGAGATGAGAAAAAATTTAGGTGTCAATTCTGAACTGATTGCTTTTTAAAATTTTAGTTGATTGTTAATGATGAATGAGTAGCCCGAATTTTAAAGCAATTTTACATAAATGTAATAAATAGAAAGATAAAGAAGTAAATGGCATTCAATACATTTCCTAGTTACTTAGGTCCTGTGTAGAAGGAGAGAGGTAGAAATTATAGTCACATAATTGTATATGCTACTGAAGTAGATATTTAGGGCACAGTGAAAGTCTTTTGCCTTGAGAGTAGATAATGATTTCTAGTAGAGAAAAGGCATGAGCAGGCTGCATGCCTCCCCCGACTGATACAGTAAACCTTCATCTTTTATATCATTTTTCCCAAATTGTTGTTGTTGCTGGTGCTCTGTTGTTTTGTTCTTTTTCTTTCTTTCTCTTTTCCTGCAAACAGTTCAATGTCACACTGAGTTGGTGCTACTCCAGCTGGGTGTCTAAACCATTCTGAGCTGACATTTCTGGGAAGAGTAATTCAGTGATTTCTGACAAGCATAAAGCTTGCATGTGTATGTGTGTGTATGTGTGGAGAGAAGGTAAAGAACATGTGGAGAAGTCTGTAGTTTGAAGCATAGAGAAAAGGAGAAACTCTAAGTATTATATTACTTAAAGTTTTAGTGGCGCAAGTAAAAATGGATGTGAAGGTTGTCATTGCTAACAAATGTATAATTGATAGGAGGCATTTCTATGATTTTACTGGCAGTTTCATCAGTTAACCATTTTAATAGTAAAATTTATTTCTTCTGAAAAGTGTGTATTAATCAGCTGCTCTGCAAGGTCTGGTGTTGGCCACTGTGTTTTTTAAAACACTCAGATGATGGCCGAAGGATACTGAGATTTTCCCTATTTTTGAACTGCTTGAGTGAGCCAGGGTGCTACAACCCATTTTCCCCTCCTACACACTGCTAGACAACCACTGGAAAAAAAGTCAACTGAGGTGGAAAAAATAGCTCTGCCTTTGATAGACTGTGAAGAAAATAAAGATTAACAAAAGCTCTGGCCAGAGAGGAAAACATAGATGTTGCCTTAACATTAACATTAATGTCATTTCAGAGCCTTTGAATCATGCCTTAATAACCAGTGTTGTAGAAAAAATAAATGACAAAATGGGGTGTGTGTGTGTGTGTGTGTGTGTGTGTGTGTGTGTGGTGGAGGGTTACATGTTCTGTAGTTAAAAAAAGTATTTGACATAGAAAAATTAGCTCTAGAAGAAGCTAGCCTGTATTTAAAAGGCTTCAGGAGCATCCGGCAGAAATATTTTTCTCCATTGACTGTTTGGCTAAACAAAGAATAATTTGTAATCTGCTCCATTAATAAAGTGCCTTTCCCCTTAAAGGACTACAGATCACTATGCTTGCTGTTTCTACTTGTGTTGGTTATTTACAAGATAGTGTACCAAAAAACATTTTGCAATTGGTACGTTGAAGATACATGGTTAAAAGTTGAATCAAAAGCAACAGCAGCCACAATAATAACAAGAGCAACAACAAAACAAAAGCTGCAAACAAACCTACTTTCTTTCCTTATGTTACTGTATGACATCATTGCTTTGAGTAAAGAATACAGTAGTATTAATTTAAATGCTTAAATTTATATTTATACAAATGTTGATAGCATGGTCATTGAAATAGTTTTGCAAGTCCTCACAGGTTTTCAGTTTACCATATAAAGAGATTGATCTGTATGTGTAATTTGTGCTTTAAGTGGTAGTTTTAATAGTTACTGGACCTCACAGTTTAATGGGCATGTTTATAATGCTACATCAATTACCACATTTTCTCATAGTTCTGTATATTGTGAGAAGAAAATGAAAAAAGTGCTGTTTAACTAAGTACAGGAATGTGGAGCCAGGAAATCTCATGCTCTGATGCCATTTCTTCTCCCAGTGTTCTTTGTAACTTTGGTTGGCTTCCTGACTCCAATTTACATTTTTTCAGTTATTAAATTATTTTCTGGTTATTCATAACATTTTCACCTCAGACATTTCAATGTCACAAATGAAAATTAAGTTGTTTCAGACTAAATGCTACTGTTGCTACCTCAGTCTGTTAATATTTCAACTTTAGTAGTAGTTTCTATAGTAAAAATATTGTTTTTGTTATTATAACAATTATTTGCAAGAGAATCTTAAGAAGGTTTGTCTTTTATAAATAAATTATACTATATTGGATATCTATGAAATATGTAATGATACATGAAAGGGAATGGCTTATATTCATCATTAAAATAATTTTACATTTAAAAAATTAACCTAGTTTTTCTGTTTCTCCTTTTTTTGTTTACTAATGGTGAAAATTGCAATTATTTTGAATTTGATGAGGACAAAGGACCAATTGCAAGTAGAAAATATTTCTAAATAAATCAAAATAGGCAACTAATTTCTTTTGAACACAAGTATTTTGATATAAACATATACATTTACTCATTTTTTCTATATTTGTTTGCATTCAAGGCATTTTTTCCTTTTAAATGGGAAACTAGAGGAATGAAAATATGAATTTTTGATACTTCAAAATAATAATTTTTATCTTGGATTCAGAAGACAAATAGTAATCAATCTCTTATGTAGAAGTATGTCTGCCAGATAGGAAGTAGAATTTGCTTTAGAAAGCTTGAAAAATCTTCTGAGATTGATTTATTGTAAATGAATAAAAAGTTTATTTTATCTTGATGAGAATGTTTTTATGCATATTTCAAGCATCTGAGTGGTGTGAATAGACTTTTCTAAAGTTTGGAAATGAAGGGGCTCATTTCTTTAACACACCATGAAAGTAGAGGCCACAAGAAAGTTATTTAGACAAATGTTTTCAAAGTTAAACAAAGGGAGTCTGTTAGGGGAGGCAGGTGAGAGCTTGCAGAATCTTTGACTGTTAAGGACTTTATGGCCCTGTGTATTTGGCTAACTGCACCCCTGCTGCTTAGCTAGCTAGATACAATGTAATTTTCTTGTTGATTTTTCAATGAAAAGTGAAAGTTTTTTTTTTTTAATAGCAGTTTCCTCTCTAGGGTATATTTTACAAAATACAAAAGAAAACGAAATTATTCAGATGTAATTAAAATGAATTCCACCATTAGCTTTTTAAATTTTAATAAAATGCTTACTTGTAATACATTTATTTGCTATTTATTTCATTTATTTAGTTTAGTTTTTTTTTTTTTTTCTAAGCCCCATGTTAATACTGTTCAGCCCCCAACTCCTGGTTTCTTAGTAACTAAAACTTATTGCAAGTATTTTAATTTCTTCTAAATCAGATTATATATTATGCACATATGATATTTGGATATTAAAATTGAGGACTTTTTTCCCCCACAGATGAGCATTTGTTAAATGTTTATATATTCCTGAGAATGATACCAATTATTATATATATTAAGCAAACTCACAAGACTCAAGTGAACTTGGCTTTGCAGTGGAATACCGTTTATGTTTTTCAGTCTTAGGTAGCTTATTAAAATTGATGTTTTCCTTTCAGTAAATATCTGGTGACATTAAAATTTGATAATTAAAATCCAGAAGCACTCAAGAAAGAATGCCTGCTTTTAGTTTCATAATAACAATACTCCCACAAAGAAAGTTGATGAATGATGTCTTTCAAGTGGCAGAGTTGTTATTTAGTTAAAGAAAGCTCCTTTGGCAGTTTCTTACAAAACTAAATTAAAGTTTGTTTATAAAACAGACAAGCTACAGTGATAATCCTATAGCCTCAAGAGTGCTTGGAATCTAGCCCAAGAAGAGTCTTGTTTTTCAGTGATTTAACAAAGAAGTGGAGTTTCCAAGAATCCAAACAGATTAGCATTCAGTGCTAATTGGGTAGGGTGTAAAATAGTATTCATGTCTGATTGTTTTGATGTGAAGTACTTCATAACCATTCCGTTTTCTAAATCTTTTAAAAATATTAATCTTTTGTCTCTTCAGATTTATTGTTTGAGCATGAGTTTTTGTTTGAGGATATATGTATACATCAATGGTTCATAGATGTGCTGTAAACAGCAAGACACATGAGATCATTACAAAAAGTGCCCTTTATAGATTAAAATAATAAAGAGAGATTGAGGCTCTGTTGTTCAGTGGAAACATTGAAGAACAAATTAAACTGAAAGATAATTTAGATGTTCTATTGAAATGTATTACTTTGAACATCTGATCATGTGATTATAATATACCACTTTCACATATAATCACAAATGTGTGACTGTATTTGTTTCTTCGGGCTGCGGTAACGAAGTACCACATACTGGGTGGCTTAAACGAGAGAAATTTATTCTCTCACATTTCTGGAGGCAAGAAATCTGAAATCAGGGTGTCAGCCAGCAGGGCCTTGCCCCTCAGAACCCTCTAGAATAGGTAATTTCTTTGTCTGTCTCAGTTTCTGGTAGCTCCAGGAATTCCTTAGCTTATGGCAGCGTAAGTCTGTTCTCTGCTCTGTCATCACACAGTGTTCTCTGTGTATGTACGTGTGTGTCCAAATTTCCCTCTTACAAAAACACCAGTGATTTTGGATCAGAGCCTACCCTTGTGACCCCATCTTGACTTCATTACAGCTGCAAAGATGCTATTTTGAAACAAGGTCATATTGACAGGTAGGATTGAGGTTAGAATTTAAACATATCTTTTTAGGGGACACCATTCAGTCCCTAACAGTGACCAAATATGGCAGTGTACATTTATACTAAGGAGGGGAAGAAAGTTGAAACCCATTAGAACATGTCATGGAGGTTTGAAAAACTTGGATTAATAGAATATAATAGCAAACAAAATTACTTGTAATTATTTTTTGTAAAGGTCTGTAGCTGAAATAAGTTTTTTTCAGGTGTGTAATGCATGGTTAATTTATGCATTAGTTTTTATAAATATATTGGAAAACATGGCATATTCTGCATTTCCCAATAATACATTTTTGTATTTATTGATATAATTGAATTTGTAAGTACCTTTTTTTAACATTCTTACCGATTTTAATGTATAAAGTGCCATCTCTCTTTAGAAATTATTAGTAATACAAATATGTACATTTAATTTACATTTATAATATTAATAGCCCTGGTTATTTCTTAACAATCCCTGTTTTCTTTAATTTTGTGATAATCTCTGGAGGATTAATTAGAATAATTATAACTTATTAAATCTGTTTATAAACTTTTCCCTATTGCACATAGAAAATAAATAATTGGGAAGTGTTTTCCATGTTGGTGACAAAGAGAAGGCAACAAACACCACATTCATTTTGTCTTTAATATTAAAATATGGAGTATTAAACATGATTTCAATTCAAATTTTAGGAAATCAATTTGAGGATTTTAGTTTAAACAAGAGTAAATGATTGTTTCTGAAAGTGGCATGTTGAATGGTTTAAACCATGGGTCAGCAAACTGTACAGAGCCAGATAGTAAATAGTTTAGACTTTGCCAGATGGTCTCTGGCAATTAGTCAGCGTTGCCTCTGTACTAGGAAAGCAGACATAGACAGTCTGTAAATTAATTGACATGGCTGTATTTTGATAAAAATTTATTTACAAAAATGAGCCAGACCAAATTTGACCATTGGGTGGTCCTTCGCCAACCCTTGGCTTAAAGTACCTATCTAATTTTTGGAGAGTAAAATTTTAAAACTATTTTATCAACACCAATCCATCATATAAGTTGCATTATATGTAAGTTTCATCAACACAGACTGAGTATATAAGTTGGCTAAAAGTAACAATACCCATCTAACAGTACAATGCTGTCAGAGACCCAGGCTCTTTCTGGCTTATTGTAATTCATTTCCTTAGCATGTTGGGTTTTATCTTCATTCTGTTCCCTTCACAGTTGTGGAATTCCTGTTGCAGCTTCATTTTTTAAGGACACAAGGCAGGAAAGGGGAAGGGCAACTCCACACGTGTCTGTCTTCTTATCTTGAATTGCAAAGCTGTCCCAGTACCTTACCACCTACTTGCTTCTCTAGCAGATTCTCTTCCATATTATTTAAGCCACTGGGTCACTCCAGGTTACAAAGGTAGCGGTATATTGAAACTTTGAAATTTCAGCCTCCATAGTAAAGAAGGGCAAGGGAGAAACGGTGTTTGTTTAGTCAGTCTAAATTGTCAAAGGAGATAGCCAGATATCTCTTTTTGAGAGATAAACAGACACTCTTCATTTAAACATGGTATAACTTGGCTTTAAGGCATATTTCTTTAAAAATATATTGTCAAGGACTGCGAAGAGCCTGAAGCTACTTTGCCATACTTTCAGGGCTAGCAGAAGACAGGAGAATATTTGGTCGGGGAAAATGAACCATTTATTAGTCACAGAGGGACAGCATTAGGCAAGGGGTCATCACTTGTGCCAGGTCACCAACCCTCAGTTTCTATAGGACAGTATAAAGGGCAGGAGACACCTGCATGTGCAGTGGCTGGCATTACAGATGAATCCCAAGCCTAAGGACCCTGAATTTTTATAATGGACAGTAAACCTGCCTGACTCTTGCTCTGGAAGGAGACATTATCTTTATTGAACTGGACTGTAACCCTCTTTTTTTTTTTTTCTCCAGAGGAAAACACTGTCCCTATTATCTAAGGCTGTTTGATACACAAATGTTCCTGAAAGGATAATTTGAAAGGCTGGCAGTATCTGGTTGCAAGACATGAAAAAATGTGGGAGACCTATAGATACTTCTCCCCAAAATATTTATGTTCTGTTCTTTCTTAAAAACCATAATGTATCTCATGTTCTCAGTTTTGAATGCTACTTAAGAGTAAGGATATTTACTCTATTTTGGATTATTGGTAAGCTTAAAATCTTGGGTTCTGGGCTGGGCGTGGTGGCTCACACCTGTAATCCCAGCACTTTGGGAGGCTGAGGTGGGCAGATCATGAGGTCAGGAGATCGAGACCATCCTGGCTAACATGGTGAAACCCTGTCTGTAATAAAAATACAAAAAAATTAGCTGGGCGTGGTGGCGGGTGCCTGTAGTCCCAGCTACTCGGGAGGCTGAGGCAGGAGAATGGCGTGAATCCGGGAGGCGGAGCTTGCAGTGAGCCGAGATCACACCACTGCACTCCAGCCTGGGCAATACAGTGAGACCCCGTCTCAAAAAATATATATATATCTTGGTTTCTGCCATTTTAATATATATAACAAATTATGTATTTGATATATCTAATATGTATATTAGAAATCTCACATATATGTGAAATAATGTGATCTCCAGAACAACTGTGGAAACTTTGTGGTGTGAACATTTTTAATTCCTTTTTTTTTTTTTTTGAAATGAAGTCTTGCTCTGTTGCCCAGGCTGGAGTGCAGTGGCACGATCTCGGCTCACTGCAACCTCCGCCTCCCAGGTTCAAGCGATTCTTCTGCCTCAGCTTCCCAAGTAGCTGGGACTACAGATGCACGTCACCATGCAGAGCTAATTGTTTTTGTATTTTTGTAGAGATAGGGTTTCACCATGTTGGCCAGACTGGTCTCAAACTCCTGACCTTAGGTGATCTGCCCACCTCGGCCTCCCAAAGTGCTGGGCTTACAGGCATGAGCCACTGTGCTTGGCCTACATTTTTTATTCTTGTTTGCATATTAGAAAAAAAACTTTAATAATTAAAGAAGGAACAGTTTTACAAAGACTTTTCATTTCAAGCTCATTATCCTTTAAAAGAGAAGACGATTATATTTTCTTCTTTTTTTTTTTTTCTTGAGTAATACTTCATTCACTTTTCAACTTTGACTACTGTAACTTTAGGTTTAGACCCAAATAATTGGTTTCAGTAGGTAAGGAAGGTTGAAATTATGTGATATAAGAATGATATTGTTTATCTTTGTTATCAGTGTCTAAACCTCAGAGATGAGCACCAGGTAGTCCAATTCCATTTTCCTGTGTGGAGAAGCTAAATAGATTGGAGGTTACATGACTTGACACACTGGGGTGTGCATGTAATATTCATGTGTGATATATTTCTAAATGAAGTTTCGTTACCAGTTGGCATGTCTGAGCCTACAGCTGTTGGCATATGAAGGGTATCAGAATTATAATGCCTTTTTCAACTTTGTTTCGGGAGGACTCATTTGAACAATTAGCACATTTTATGGTTGTGAAAATGAACTGTTGTTTTTTCTCTTCATTAAACCAGAATTAATATTGTATGTCATCTGGTCAGTCGATGCAACTTTTTTTTTTTTCTAACACGATGCTTGTATTCATTAAATTCAGAAAGACTATTTAAAGCTTTATTTTTCAAGTATACCTTTTTCTGTAAATATCTCTTCCTTTCTCACTCTGTTTATGTATATACATGTGTGAAATATTACTTGTAACTTTTTAAGCATTTAATTTGTCTTGATGGGCACAGATTTTTAAAAAGGAAGTAAGAAAGATTACCTAGTTTTTTCTGAACTATATTAATGATAAAGCATCTCAGCTCATTTTACAGATGCTGAAAACCCTTCGCGTTTTGTTCTGAAGGTTTTTGTAGGGCATACTGATTTTCTATGAAGTATGTGGAGCTGTCAATTTTATTCTTTTTTCCAGAGATTTCAGAAAATTTTCATTTAACTAAAGATTTCCATCCTGGTCAGCTGGGTCTCATTTACCTGATTAAAATAGGTTTGCATGGATAAAGTCTTAAAGCAAATTCTCCTTACCACATTTTGTGTGAATTTTTTCCTCTTTAATACTAATTTTAGTTTGTTCTCATTACAATTGCATATGTAAAAAATACTTTTTGATAAAGCAACTGAAACTTTGAAGTTGATAATTTATCACAATACTTTTTTCCCCATTATATCAACACTTGGCAAACTACAGACTGTGAGCCTAATCCAGGTTGTATTTCCTTCTGTGAGTAAATTTTCAATGGCGGAGCCATGCTCATTTATTTACTTACTGTCTGTGGCTACAATGGCAGAGGTAAGTAGTTCCATAGAGACTATCTGGCCTGCAGAGCTGAAAACTTTTACTCTCTGGGCCTTTACTGCAAATGTTTGCTGATTCCTGCATTACTGATATCATTTTCATAACAGTCTTAAAAACTTGGCATTTTTAAACTTAAATACTTTTTTCTTTTTGTCGCTTTCTTCTCTACCCTATCTCTGCCAGCAGTTCTTTGTGAATTACCATTGTGATCTTCTAAAGGCAAAAAAAATGGTAGGTAGTCAATGACTGATAGCTATAGACCTATGAAACTAACATTTCCTATCTTGTCTCAATATTCTGATGTATATAATCATTTTAAAACATAATAAATTTAGGCCTTTTTTGTTTTTGTTTTTAACACAAGATATGCCACTAATGTCTGACAAGCATTTAATCTAGTGGCTTTCCTGCATTTTCCATGGATCAGATGCATTCTAATCCTCTGAAATGATTATTAAATACAGATTGCCAGCCTTTATATAATGCCTGCTAAATTTACCAGTTGGGATCTGCACATATATTGGTAAAGAGTGCCCTAGCAGTTTCTGACCTTCTGTCTGCTTTCAGAATCCACATGAGTCAAATTATCTCCTTTTATGTATAATCTTATCAAGGACTATTGAGGTGGCACAGGTGGGGATGGAATCCTGGATGTGTTCAGAACTCCTTTCATTTTACTAAGCTTCCTTTATACTACCAGAGGAATCCACTTCCAGTCTCGAGTCACTTAGAAGAGGGGGCCGGGCGTGATGGCTCATGCCTGTAATCCCAGCACTTTGAGAGGTCAGGAGATCAAGACCATCCTGGCCAACATGGTGAAACCCTGTCTCTACTAAAAATGCAAAAATTAGCTGGGTGTGGTGGCATGCGCCTGTAATCAGGAGGCTGAGGCAGGAGAATGGCTTGAACCTGGTAGGTGGAGATTGCAGTGAGCCGAGTTCACACTACTACACTCCAGCCTGGCGACAGAAAAAAAAAAAAAAAAAGAAGGATACATTTCTGTAAGGTTTTTAAAGTTTTGTTGGAAAAGATGGATTGCAATTCTCTTCTTATGTTTTTCTGAGATTAGCCTAATCACTATCCTTGGAATTTACCTTTGCTTGCCAGCCTTTTATCCTGCCCCTTTCTCCTCCCTTTCCTATTTCCAGTTTATGCAGATATTCTTTCTTATTACTGGCATAGCTAACATTCCCACTCTATCCCCATGCCCATCTTGGCTCTGATTTTCTGATCATTCTAGCTAAAATGTGTCTTTTCCTTCTGACCATAGCATTTATCAAGGCCTTTCATGTGGCAGTTAATGATATATTGTCAAATATTGTTATCTTTTTAAAATGGTGTTAGGAGCCTGGGTAACAGAGAGACCCCATCTCTACAAAAAAAAAAAAAAAAAAAAAAAAAAAATAGCCAGGTGTGTTGGCCCATGCCTGTGGTCCCAGCTACTCTGGAGGCTGAAATGGGTGAGATTGCTTGAGCCAAGGAGGTTGAGGCTACTGTGAGCTGAGGTCATGGCGCTGCACTCCAGCCTGGGTGACAGAGTGAGAACGTGTCTCAGAAAAAAAAAAAAAAAGAAAAAAAGGAAAAAAAAAGGTAATAGGCTATGTCTCTTCTGTGTCTCCCATGGTATCCAGAACAGTGCTTTATACTTGGCAAACACTCATAATAATATATGGTTATTTCTTTAGAATTACTATAGGATGATTTGAAAATCCTGATGTATTCCTAGATTACGAGCTGCTGGGGCCTGGAGGGAGGCAGAAGAGAGATGTTACAATGGAAAGTGTTGAAGTGTCTGAAGGCTTGTTTTTAGAATTTGTAGGTACACTCTGAATGTCAGCTTCTTCACATTTGGGAATGAGTACTGGCGATTTTAGAAGAAAAGAAAATGCTTATAAGGATAGTAATATCATTATTATTTATGTTTTAATTATAAATATATTTCAAAGCAACTCTTAACTGTATGTATTCTCAAAATAGCTTTACTGTAATAACATTCTTGGACAAAGTTCATGAAATTACTACAGTTTACAAGTACTTCTTTAATGGAGTGTCCTTGTAGCTACACTTAGTACCTGTAAGATAAATTCCTAAAAAATTCACATCATTCTGCCTACTCTCACAAACTACTCAAAGCAATGAGCATATTGCATAGCTTTCTTATTGACTTATTAGTTCTGTATCTGAGCTCCAATGAGTGTTTTCACTTCCTCTTATTCTTATATTAACATTTCTTCAAAGACTGTTTTTGTTTCTGTGATGTGTTGTACTTATGACCCTGAATACACAGGACTTTTCGGCAACTGGGGAATCCTCCAAAAATCTATGCTTTCGACATGAATAGTCCAGTTTCATTTGGTATGTATTATTGACAGAAGTGCTTCATCCTCTTTATAGCTTGCTGTGCAGCAGATGGTTGTTATATTATTCAGGACTCTTGAGGCAGTGCATTAATACGCGTGCACAATGTTTTTTAAGTCTTATTGTGGGAATTGTCTTGTGTCCTTGTTGACGGAATTCCTTAATACGGATGAAGATTTCCAAACTTGAAAACTAGTTTTTAAATTTTAGCTAAGGCTATTTTGTATTTATGTATTGCTTAACTGCTATCTCTTTTTCTTTCCTTTTAAAGTAAAGGTCGGAGGGTTGGATCTAATATTCTTGCTATAAATGATTTTTTTTTTTTTTTGGTCTTGTTTTGTTTTGATGTGAGCATATCAGCTTTGAGGGACATCTGAGATATTTTGAATATGTAGGCAGGGCTTTTAAAGAAAGGAATTGCTGTTTTCTTACATCCACCATGCAGACTTAGACTTGACAGGAAAACAGAGGCATGTGTGTTCTCACTGTGTATTATCGTTGCGCCCCCTCACATAGCTGTTAGGGTTTGTCAGCAGTTTGTTTTGACTCACTAGACCAAGGGTGGGGGTGGTTTTGTGTGTTTTTGTAAGTTAACTAGTGTGGGATGTCAGTAATCTCAGCTTTACCATTTTAGTTGGCCATGATCCCTTCATGTAAGAAACCGTCATATTTGCCCTATTTCTCAGGCCATACTGTGGTTCCGAAACTTGCCCGTAAATATTTGTGAAATAGTTTTTCTTTTCTTATAACTCTGGAGGTCAAAACCCAGCCCTAAGATAAACTCCTGTTTCATATTGCCTCTGCGGGGTGCTCATGGTATGTCCCCAGACTAATTTGGGAACCTCCTTGAATTACTTTTTAAAATTTATCTGGATAGTTCTTACACAATTAAATTTAATTTTTATTTATTATAGCAAGATTGAGGACACTCCCAAATCCACACTTCATTTCCTGGGAGATCATGTTAGACACAGATAACTATGCTAAATTATTTTGATCCAGGTAAGCGTGTTAGAAAGAGAGGATGGGGCTGCTGGACTTCATTGAGAGGATCTTTTGATTTCAGAAACCATTAGTGAAGGAAAGGTGTACTAGACAGAGCTGTCATAACCTTTTTACTATTTCTTAAGAGAAGTGGTACCTCTGAGAGTTGTGTAACATGGTGGTCTTCCCACATCTTTATCAAGAGATTAATTAAGGTTGTGAAGTAAAGCTTTAGAGGTGAGGCACAAAAGGCAAGCAGTGTTTACCTCTAATCACTCGAGGTAACCTTTATATTGGAAGATCAGTGTAGATGTATTGTGTACCAGATAACATTCCATTATGTAACTATTCTTTATTTACTTCCTCTACTGTATGTGTGGCATCATTCCAGCATCAAGTTTAATCCTTCTTTGTATGCATTTATTGTAAACTGTCATTTATGTGGGATTAAAATAACTGGAAAGCCTAAATAACTGGAATTCTTGTAGCATGTTTGGTACTTGACATTTAAAAGAGAGACAGATGGCAAGTAAACAAGGTGAGAGCAGGACTTTATTTGCTGTACTGCAATCTCAAACTGCTGTCAAGAATTTTAATTAGATGTTATTTTAGGAAGCTTTCAATTTACTGCAGGTCATTGAAGCTTAGAAAGAAGCAGAATGTACACCAAGTATTTTAATATGTTAGCAATCCACTGCAATTAGTTAATCTGGAGCTAGTAGGTTGTATTTTTAAGAGTGTAAACATTTTACTGGGTTTCAGTGTGACTTAGAGTAAAATAATTTTTCTGTTTAATTTTAAATCATACTATTTTAAATTTCTAAGTTGGGCTTCAGTATCAAGTTGGTTGAATTAAAGATTTAAATATTTCTCCTGATGTCTTCCCTTCTCCTTCCTACTAAACTGGTGTTCATTTTTCTTTATGGTGATCATTTCTAATTTCCCACAGCTTCCCTGGACATTTCCTTCACTGTGAGATAGTAGTTTTACACATCATTCAACATCCAGTTGTTCAGTTTTCACAAAAAGATTTCTGAGAAATCTGACTTCAAAGTTACTCTTTTCAAACTGAAGCTCGTTTTTAGAACTATTCATGATATAGGAAAATACATTCATAACTGAAAGCTTTTTTTGGGTTATTCTTTGTAACATTACATGCCGCTTTTCACCAATGAAAAGAATCCTCAAGAACCTGGAAAAAGCAATTCCTTTTTGCAGTTAAAATGAAGATAAAGAGCCTTGAAAAATGGCTGATGCTAATAGTTCATGGAGATTAATAAGTGATATGTGAAAGGCAGACTGTCCTGTAGTTGCAAAATGTTACATAGTTTGTACACCTTGTCAGCGTTGTGATAACATGAAGTCATAGTTTAATTGGTAAACAAGAAAAGCTTCCAATAAAGTGTCCCATGGATGATCTTTTCCTTTGAGACTGCAGCATTTCTGAAGAATATAGGGTATCTTGTGATACAGCAAGGTAAAAGCAGGGCACATCTTCCCTATGATAAATCTGTGCTCTTATTGTCGGAGTTTAACCTAGTCCTTCATATTTTGTTTCTGAATACTTGAGTTCATTTATGTATAGTGGGGAAGATTTTGTTTTTGATTTTGACTTCTGTCATGCTTGCTTGCTTACTTGATTTTCTTTTCTTTTTTGAGATGGAGTTTTGCTCTGTCGCTCAGGCTGGAGTGCAGTGGCGCAATCTTGTCTCACTGCAAGCTCCGCCTCCCTGGTTCATGCCATTCTCCTGCCTCAGCCTCCTGAGTAGCTGGGACTACAGGTGCCTGCCACCACGCCCGGCTAATTTTTTGTATTTTTAGTAGAGACGGGGTTTCACCGTGTTAGCCAGGATGGTCTCCATCTCCTGACCTCGTGATCCACCCGCCTCGGCCTCCCAAAGTGCTGGGATTACAGGCATGAGCTACCGTGTCCAGCCCTATTTCTTTATTTAAAAATGACAAATACATTTATGGTTGTACTACATGATGTTTCTGTATATGTATACATTGTGGAATGGCTAAATCAAGCTAATTAACATAGCCATTACTTCCCATACTTACTTTTTTTCTTTTTTAACTGGTGAGAACATTTAAAATATACCCTCTTAGCAATTTTCAATATACAGTACATTGTTAACCTCTTGAACTTATGTCTCCGGTCTAACTGAAATTTCGTATCCTTTGACCAATAGCTCTTCATCCACTGCCTCAACTGCCCACCCCCACCCCAGGAAATTGTGATTGATATATTTTTTAAGGTTGTTGAATTAATTGTCTTTTTTGCAGTTAAAAAATATATTAATAGTAAAATGGGCTAGGTAGAGATTTTTTCAGAGGGCAAGTTAATTCTGGACCTGACAACCTTAAGGTCTGGAAAAATAGTTACTCTCAAATTTTTTTTTTTAAAACGAAAGGTTTTACTTAATTATCAGGTTCTAATTCCCTTAGGATACTGGTCTTCAGTGATTGTTTAAATGTCTCAGAGGAAACTTATATAAAGTTTGGAATTTTCATTTTAAAATTTGTGTTGTTCCAAGATTTCAAAACAGATCTAATCTAGATTATTATTGATGTTAAATGATGTAAAATAAAAGTATATTTAATTTTAGAAATTTCCATTAATAATAAAATTATTCAAATTATAAGGAATATACCCAAGAATGTGAGTTCTTTTCAAACCAGAATTAAACTCATTTATATTTATAATACCCCTAAGTACTGAAAATAAATACTAACAGCATTTCTTATTCAGAAAACAAAACTGGTTGCAAGCAGCAAGAGAAAATATCTTGCTGAGTGTCGCTTTGAAAGCCAAATGAGTTGTAAAAAAAAAGTAAAAGTTCCTAGTTTTTGTTTTACAATAAAGTTTCTAATTTTGTCTTTAGTTTTAACTGATCATAGAAATTAATAAGCCTGTCTGTCTCAGAGAGAGATATTTGTTCTGCCTTCACTATTCTGCCTGAAGCAGGATTCTGGAATGTTCTTCAGAATCATGCAGAATGAGTTGTAATTATTTGCTACAGAATGAGTTGCAATATTTGCTAGTCTTCAAATTCATTCTCATTATTCAAGATTATATGATCAGAATGAATGGAAACTGCGATGGCTATAACCTAGAGAAGTAATAAGACAAAAAGCATTATTTACTCATATGAAGGGTTTATCATTCATATTTCTTCATCATCTACCTTTCTAGATTCATTTCACGACACTCTCCCTCAGGTCTTCCTTCTTTATCCACTCACATCATTTTTCAGTTTTTCAGGCCTTTAGGACCTCCACATCTGAGGCTTCATGTGCCTGATTTTTTTCCAACTACCTAACACATCTTTCGTATCATAACTTAAATGTCATTTCCTCAGAGAGGCCTTCCCTGAGTGATCATTAAATGTTTTGACACATTATTTTATCTCATGGTATTCTGCTGTGTTCTTTCCAGTACTTGTCACAGTTTCTGTTTCTTCGTTTTCTTCACCACTGTCACCACAGTGCCTACTTCATTTCCAACACGGTGTAGGTACTCAATACAGATTGAAGGAATGAAGGATAGATAATGCACTCATCTTGAGCTACATCCTATTTAGTGAGCACCATAAAACTTGGCAGGCATTGTTAGACCTTTATATGGACAAGAGCTTTGATGGTTCGTTTTTGTTTTGTTCAGTTTTGTTTTCTTTCTGGAGATGGAAAAAGAAATTTAATAGTGATAAAGCCAGAGAAACTTAAGCTGGACCTGTCAATCTGGTATGGTTGAGAGGTATTTATTTTAATCAGCTGTGGATTGTATTTTCATGTGACATTTTAAAAAGGATGAAAAGGGTCTTACAGCCACATGCATCATTCTTTTGCCTGCTGATCCATAATTAGAATCAGCATCTAGAATCTGTTTTTGTATATAACTGAAGTATCAGAGTTACAAGTAAAACCACTTTCCACGTTATTTGTTGTCCATTAACTGCTGAAGATTAGCATATTTAAAAGTTTTACTGAGAAGCACATAATTGGAACCTGATGTTTGTTATTTATCCTGATTCATGTTATATTTTCTTCTTAGTGGACATTAAAATTTCAAAATTGCTATAACAGAGGTGCTGTTGGGGTAGTTTCTTAGTTGTATATGGGTCGTATATTGTATATGGGAATCTTTTTATGGTACACATCTGTTTTCATCAAATAGGTGAGTAGTATTCGGGCATTACCTTATACCTTCTTTAAAGAATTTTCATCCATTGCTTTAATAATTATATTATGCCAGCTCTATTTAATATAATTAAATTTTTTTTTAAAATTTCCTGTTGTATCAACCTGAAACTACTTTGACTAGCATTTTGGCTGCAACCTTCTTTTCTTAACTGTTCAGTATCCCTCTGTGTATTTTTATTTGGTTCCCTTAATTGGAAATAATTTAAAAAACATAATGTGTGACTTTCTTGCTTACTCTTGAATAACATTTAAACTTCAGCCTCACTTGTCTAATTTCAGTTCTGAGGTATGTTCTACTTGTTGCCTCCTCAAATTGCTTTGCCTTCCTGAAAAGTTTTTCTTTTGATTCTACATATTTTCAGGGGAGGGATAAAGATCTAAGCATAAATATCACCTCCTTAGATGGGTCTTTTTTGACCATCCTATCAAATAGGTTGTCACAGTTAGTATTGTGAATATTTTCTGATGATTTATTTTCTCCCCCAACAAATTTTAACTGTCTTTCAAAGTATAATTGAAGTTCTCATTCTTGAAGCATTTTCTGAATAATCAAGTGCTAGAACTTGAGCATTTTTTAGCTTTTACTTTTTGTCAGAACATTGTAGTTGGTGGTGTAGAGACAGTTCTATCTTGATGCTTCAGGTTCTCATTTCTACTTGAGGGAAGCTCACAATTTTCAGGAATCACGGAGGATGGCATTTGAGCCCGCCTGGCGGTCTGAGCCCACCTGGAGATCCCCATCCTTTCAATGGGGAAATGTATTTGAGCTATTCCCCAAGCTAATGCTCAGGTAGGAGATACAGGCAGGAAAAGATGTCATGGAAGATATTTTAAAGGAATGGGAGTATACGCCTAGCTTAGAATACAATATGTGAAAGCATATTGTATTGTGGTTCTTTGGTGCTGGATATCTCAGGAGTGGAGGAATTGAAGGATTGTGTTTTCATTTTTACACTTTTTCTCTTCTGCTCTTCTGATTTTTCAACCATGAACATGGTTATGTGTATGGTCTGGTTTGGGGGAAGTATATATCAGAAAAAATAAAACAAGAAAGGAAGTTACTCTGGTTACCATGCAATTTCGTATTTAAATGACAAGGTTTTGCATTTTGGATATTTCATGTCAGCCGTGTCTCCTCAGCTAAGTTCTAGTCACTTAGAAGTTTGGTGTCACTGAATTATAATTTTGGTGCTTCCCATGTTTTATATTTACACTAGACTACATGCTATATGGACAATGTGCAATCAGTTAATATCTGAATGAATGAATTGACCAACTTTTGAGAACAGAGTTTGACATAAATTTGGTGGTTTTTGGTTCATTGTGCTTTAATTGAAGGAGAAGTAGACATTGTACTTCACATTAGGCTACTCTTTAGATAAGCTTTCCATTACATGGCATGTGTCTTACTTTCTTACTTGATAATGGCTCTGTTTCTGAAATTATATAAACAGATTTTTACTGTTTTTAAACTTTACAACTTAATATTAGACTGTAAATTATTTACTTATTTATTGGAAACAAACTTTTAGATACAGAAATTGGTCTTTTAAGACAACAACAAAAAATACCTAGTTTTTAATCTGGCTCCTGTCTTTCATGACTAAGTCTGACTGATCTTTCTTGTTATATGATGCTTTATAAGATTGATTCTGTATCCGGGTTACCAACGCTTCCTGTAACAGAAGAAAAACATTCAGATCCTTATAGTGCTGAGTCAGGGGAAATTATTACATACAACAAAGGAAAAGTCTTTGATAGGAAATATTGCTTCTGGTAGGAAATTAAGTACAGAGTACAAGGATCTAAATGTCTGTCATATAAACAATGGGCAATCTTATTAGGCAATTTTGGACACCTATTACGTGGCTTTATTTATTTATTAATAGTAGGCTTTTCTCATCATGGTTCATGGGGATTTGTAAGGTAACGATACCCTGGACAGCCTTCCAAGATGTTTTGATGTTGGCAGCAATGCATTACTGGGGCAGGGGCAGGGGAGGAGGTAGAAAGTGTGATAACTCTGCATCACTCCTTCTTCTTTGTTCTCATTTATAACACCTAAGGCATTGGAATTCCCCAGAGTAAGAATTCTAGTGAAAAGGGAAGCAAATAAAATACATCTGACAGTTGGGATCCTTGGGTTTATACATGTGCTGACTAATTACATATGAAATGAGATATCCCCTTAAATTAAAACTATTTGAAGATACCACTTCAAATATATGTAATAGATGATTTACACTTCTTATCATGGCTTTCAATAGCAAGAATTTCTCTTGCAGTAGGATAATTAACTAGAAATATAAAGAAATGTTTCAAAAGTATAATAATGTAGAAGAAAAATAGAAAAATTTGATTTTGGAAGAAATCTTCCTCCATTATTATGAAGATAGCTGCAGTTTGGTTTTTTTTTTTTTTTTTTTTTTTTTTTTTTTTTTTGGGACGGTCTTGCTGTGTCGCTCTGGCTATGGTGTGGTGGCATGAACACAGCTCACTGCAGCCTGTACTTACTAGGTTGAGCCATCCTCCTGCCTCAGTCTCCAAGTAGGCTCCCAAGTAGGTGGGACTACAGGTACATGCCACTATGCCTGGCTGATTTTTAAATTTTTTGTAGAGACAGGGTCTCGCCATGTTGCCTAGGCTGGTCTTGAACTCCTGGGCTCAGGCATTTCTCCTGCCTTGGCCTCCCAAAGCGTCAAGATCACAGGCATGAGTCACCACACCCAGCTGATAGCTGCAGTTTTGTGTGTGAGAGTTGATCTTCTTGCCTTTACTGTGACAAAACATCTTTATGGAAAGACAAACAGTATTCGTTACGTTTATTTTACCTGTGTATTCAAGAATGTTTATTTTTTTCATAAGCTACAAAACCAGATTAGAAAAGTAACTTGTATTTCCTAAAAGGAGGCATATTTTAGGAGCTATATGAACTGGGCATTTTTAATTTTTTTTCATTACTTTGGGGAATATTTCAGGATCTCATCAGCATTCATTACATGGGAGGACAGGGGATTAAAAAAACAAAATTGATTGTTAATGAATTTTTTTTTTTTTGTATTTAGGAAGAAGAAAGACTGTAACTTAAAAAGAATTGTGGCAAATTATATATGTTAAATATTCTGGTCTAGAAATGTGGTATAGAGGTTCCCTAGAAGCTTCTGTTCCACTGTGGTTAAAATGTTTTCTCACCTTCTTGAACTGTCTTTGTAGGTGATGTCATGAAATGTCCCAAGAGAACGTTGTATAAAACTTCCTTTGACCTTTCTGGACTCAGGGCTGAGCTCCTTAGACCTACAGTTTCTTGTTAAAATCGAGTAGGTTGTGTTTGAAAAATAAAGTTTATTTGTAAAATTATTTCAGTTTATATTTTATGTATAATCATCTCTCTTACAAATATATGACTCAAGGAAAGATAGTATTTTGCCCTAGGGTCAAGAGTGAAATTATTTAAACTTATTAGTGCATATTTATTTCTTTTCTATTTTATGCTAAAAAAATGTGTGGAACTAAAATTTGAAAAGATACTTATTTTGTTAGTTTAGAAAATGTTTAGTATTTCATATAATCTTAACTTTCAAGTATTTTGGCGTCTATCTTAATATTTTCTCCTTTAAGAAAAGACAAAAATTAAAAATCTTATTCTAACTTAGTTTAGTCCACTCAGTGAAACAGCATTTAATATTTAATGAAAATTGTTTTGTCGTTTCCTTTGACATCTGTATTAAAGATTGCTAATTGCCTCCAAAATCCATTTTGTCCCTTTCCTATCATTATATATTTCCCCATTGTTATCCATCCATAGTAAAGATAGCATTTCCTGGGTTCACATGTTGCTGATGTGGCCCTGTGAGCAAGTTTTGATGAATTGGATGTGAGTAGAAGTGAGCTGTGCAGCTTCTAGATCATGCCCTTAAAGGGAAGCCACATGCCCGCTCATTCCCCTTTTTCCTGCTCCCTGCTGGCTAGAATGTGAACAGGGTTATGAGTCATCTCAACCATGTGAAGGAGGGTGATGGAACAGGGATGGGAGAAGGAGCCTAAGTCCTTGACTTCTCCATAGACTAGAGCTGCTTTGCTTAGGCGAGAAGGAAATAAACATCAGCATCAGATAGTATTATTCTGTCACACTTAGCCAAAACTGTGTATAAAATACATTACCATGCTGACAGAATTCACCATTTCTGCTGTGTTTTTTTGAGGTTTAAGTTTCAAATTTGCATAATATGTGAAGGCATTTTCATGTGAAATAAAACATTATTAACTATATCTTGTTTTCAGAGCAACCACTGGATTCATGCTAATACTGCTTTTATATTACAGTTATTCAGTATTAAACCATTTTGTGACTATCTGTAACTGTTAGATGTATGACCCATTTGAGGCGTAAACAGAGTGCTGTCTCTTGATAATCTAAATTTCCTGTCTTAAATTTTTGTGTCTGCTTTGCCTCCCTTTCTTTGTCTTCCTCCCTCATGTCTTTCCCTCCCCTTTCTGCCTTTGGCTAATGTCTGGGCCAGTGCTGGTAAAGTGCTCCCTGGCCAGTCCATGGGAGTTTAAGGACCTTAACAGAGACCAGGTTCCTGGCGTTACTTCTGAACACACACACACACACATACACACTGGTAAAATTCAGTTACTTGCTTGGGGAGTTTATGAGTTTATATTGTAATGGATGGAAAAATGCCCTGTGCTTTGCAACCTTTTAGACTAAGTAATAACACTTACAAGAAATTGTGAGTGTTATGGGAACCAACTTCTGTGTGGGAGATGGGTACGAGGGAAAAAAAAAGTTTCATAATGATGAATGAGAAATTTTCAGAAAGCATTGTTTGGTTTGTCATTTTCAGTCCAGAAGGTTACTTACGTCATTTACTCTGGGGATGGAATATAGCTTCACTGAATGACAGCATTTGGTTCCAAGTTATTTAGTTATGTTTCATTGTGTTGAAATACCCTACCTTTGCCAGAATCGTTGTAAACTATGTGTGAAGCTCTAGGTGGGGAAAAATTGAAAGGAGCGCCATATTATATTACAGGAACAATTCATGTCCTACTCTTGGTTTCCTTTCAAAGCCCTGTATTTGTGGCTGTGCTAATAAATTCCATCACATTCATTATGCATAGCTGTAAGTGTATGTAAATACCACGCATCTTGCATTTTGAAGAAAACCAGGGAGTGAACACACATAGTCTTTCTTGCCTGGGATTCATTTATTTTTTAAAATTCATTTTATATATGAATGAGAAAGTTGAGGGAACATTTCCTTTCATACCAACATAGAAAATCCTCTAATACCACATCCCCTGTCTCCTGGTCCT